>NC_000007.14:61578020-61878020 GCF_000001405.40 Homo sapiens | reverse complement strand
ACAGAGTTAAACCTCTTTTTTGATTCAGCAGCTTGGTAACACTGTTTTTGTAGACTCTGAGAAGGGATATTTGGGGGTGCATTGAGTCCTGTGATGAAAAAAGAATATATCTTCAGATAAAAATTAGAAAGACATTTTCTGAGAAACTGCTTTGTGATGTGTGCATGTATCTCTCAGAATTAAAATTTTCTTTTTATTTATCAGTGTGGAAACACTGTTTTTGAAGAATCTGCAAAGGCGTATTTGGGAGCACACTGAGATCTAAAGTGGGAAAGAATATGTCTTCAGATAAAAGCTAGAAAAATCTTTCTGAGAAACTGCTTTGTCATGTATGCATTCATCTTACAGAGATAAACATTTATCTTGATTCAGCAGTTTGGAAACACTGTTTTTGTCCATTCTGTGAATGGACATTTGGGAGTTCATTAAGGCACACATGAAAAGGTGTATATACCAGGGTAAAAACTAGAAGGAAGCTATCTGAGAAACCACTCTGTGGTGAGTGCACTGATCTCGCTGATTTAAAGCTTTCTTTTGATTCAGCAGTTTGGAATCACTGTTTGTGTTCATTCTGTAAATGGGTATTTGGGAGCTCATTGAGGTCAATGGCAAAAAAGTGAATAACTGAGGATAAAAACTAGAAATAAGCTATCTGAGAAATGGATTTATGATGTGTACATTCATCTCACAAAATTAAACATTTCTTTTCCTTCAACAGTTTGGAAACACGGTTTTTATAGGATCTGCAAAGGGATATTTTAGAGCACATTGAGGCCTATGGTGTAAAAGAAAATATCTTCAGATAAAAACTAGAAAGAAGCTTTCTGAGAAATTGCATTTTGATGTGTGCATTCATCTCACAGAGTTAATACTTTTTTTGATTCACCAGTTTGGATACACTGTTTTTGTCCATTCTGCTAATGGACATTTGGGGGCTCATTTAGGCCAATGGCAAAAAAGTGAATAACCCAGGATAAAAACTAGAAGGAAGGTATCTGAGAAACTGCTATGTGATGTGTGCCATCATCTCACAGTCTTAAAAGTTTCTTTTCATTCACCAGTTTGGAAACAGTGTTTTTGTAGAATCTGCAAAGTCATATTTTTGAGTTCATTGAGCCCAATGGTGAAAAACGAAATATCTTCAGACAAAAACTAGAAAGAAGCTTTCTGAGAAACTAATTTGTGATGTGTGCATTCATCTCACAGAGCTAAACTTTTTTTGATTCAGCAGTTTGGAAAAACTGTTGTTGTCCATTTTGTGAATGGACATTTCAGAGATCATTGAGGCAAAAGGAGAAAAACGGAATATCCCAGGATAAAAACTTGAAGGAATCTATCTCACACATCACTTTGTGGTGCCAGCATTCATCTCACAGAGTGAAACCTTTCTTTTCATTCTGCAGTTTGGATACACTGTTTTTGCCCATTCTGAAAATGGACATTTGGGAGCACATTGTTGTCAATGGCAAAAAAGCGAATGTCCCAAGGGAAAAAAAAAAAAAAAAAACTTGAAGGAAGCTATCTTAGAAACCCCTTTAATTCATGGACATTTATCTTGCGGAGATAAGCCTTTCTTTTCATTCAACATTTTTGAAACATTGTTTTTGTAGTATCTATGAAAGGATATTTGGGAGCACAATGAGGACTACAGTGAAAAAGAAATTATCTTTAGATAAAAACTAGAAAGAAACTTTCTGAGAAACTGCATTGTGATGTGTTCATTCATCTCATAGAGTTAAAACTGTCTTTTGATTCAGCAGTTTGGAAACACAGTTTTTGTCCAATTAGTGAGTGGAAATTTTGGAGCTCATTGAAGCCTATAGCAAAAAAGCAAATTTCTCAGGATAAAAGCTAGAAGGAAGCCACCTGAGAAACCACTTTGTCACGTGTGCATTCATCTCACATAGTTAAACATTTCTTTTGATATAGCAGTTTGAAAACACAGTTTATGTCCATTCTGTGAATGGACATTTTGGAGGTCAATGAGGCCAAAGGCAAAATACTGAAGATTCCAGATAAAAATTGGGAGGAAGGTATCTGACAAACCACAATGTGTTGCATGTATTCATCTCACAGAGTTAAATCTTTCTTTTCCTTCAGCAGTTTGGAAACATTGCTTTTGTCCATCCTACAAAAGAATATTTTGGAGCTCCTGGAGGCCAATGGTGAAAAAGCCTCCTTTTCACCTTTATCCAAGGATAAGACCTCAAAGGAACCTAGCTGAGAAACTGCTTTGTGATGTGTGCATTCATCTCACAGTGAAAATTTTCTTTTCTTTTACCAGTTTGGAAACACTGTTTTTATAGAATCTGAGAAGAGATATTTGGGAGCACATTGACATATATGAAAAAGTATATATCTTAAGAAAAAACTAGAAAGTCTCTTTCTGAGAAACTGCTTTGTGATGCTTCCATTCATCTCACAGATATAAATATTTCTTTTGATTGAGAAGTTTGCAAACACTGTTTTTGTCCTTTCTTTGAATGGACATTTTGGAGGTCATTGATGCCAATTTCAAAAAAGGAAATATCCAAGGGTAAAAAATAGTAGGAAGCTATGTGAGAAATTGATCTGTGATGTATGTATTCACTTATAAGAGATAAACCTTTCTTTTGATTCAGCAGTTTGGAAACAGTTTTGTAAAATCTGAGAAGAGATATTTGGGAGTACTTTGAGGATTATGGTGAAAAAGAAAATAACTTCAGATAAAATCTAGAAAGAACCTTTGTGAAAAACTGCTTTGTGATGTGTGCATTCATCTCATACAGGTAAAAATTTCTTTTGATTCAGCACTTTGGAAAAACTGTTTTTGTCCATTTTGTGAATGGACATTTGGGGGTCATTTAGGCCAGTGATGAACAAAATAATATTTCAGGATAAAAACAAGAATGGAGCTATCAAAGAAACCATATTGTGATGTGTACATTTATGTCACAGAGTTAAACTTTTCTTTTGATTCAGCAGTTGGAAACACTGTTTTTGTAGAATGTGTGAAAGTATACTTGGGAGCACCTTGAGGCCTATGGTGAAGTAGAAAATATGTTCAGATGAAAACTAGAAAGAAGCTTTGTGAGAAACGGCTTTGTGATGTGCGAATTCACCTCACAGAGTTAAAACTTTGTTTTGATTCAGCAGTTTGGAAACACTGTTTATGTCCATTCTCTGAATGGACATTTAGCAGCTCATTGAGGCCAATGGTAAAAAAGTGAATATCCCAAAATAAAAACTAGAAGGAAATGATCTGAGAAACTGCCTTGTGATGTATGCATTCACCTGGCAGAGATAAGACTTTCTTTGCATTCAGCAATTAGGAAACACGGTTTTTGTAAAACTTGCAAAGGGATATTCGGGAGCACTTTAAGTACTATGGTGAAAAAGAAAATATATTCAGATAAAAACTAGAAAGAAGCTTTCTGAGAAACTGCTTTCTGATACATGCATTCATCTCACAGAGCTAAACAATTCTTTTCATTCAGGAGTGTGGAAACCCTGTTTTTGTAGAAACTGCAAAAGTATATTTGGGAGAACATAGCAGCCTATAGTGAAAAAGCAAATATCTTCAGATAACAACTAAAAAGAAGCTACCTGAGACACCCCTTTGTGATGTGTGCATTCATCTCACCGAGTTAAACCTTTCTTTTCATTAAGTAGTTTGGAAACACTATTTTTGTCCATTCTGTGAATGGACATTTAGGAACTCAGTAAGGCCAATGGAGTAAAAGCAAATATCCCAGGATAAAAAACAGAAGGAAGGTCTCTGAGATACTGCTTTGTGATATGTGCTTTCACCTCACAGATTTAAACCTTTATTTTCATTCAGCAGATTGGAAACACTGTTTTTGAAGAATCTGCAAAGGGATATTTGGGAGCACATTGCAGCCTATGGTGAAAAAGAAAGTATATTCAAATAAAAACTAGAAAGAAGCATGCTGAGAAGCTGCTGTGTGTTGCGTCCATTCATCACGCTGAGTTAAATGTTTCTTTTCATTCGACAGTTTGGAAACACTGTTTGTGTCCATTCTGTGAATGGACATTTGGGAGCAGATTGAGGCCAATGGCGAAAAGGCGAGTATCCCAGGAGAAAAACAAGAAGGAAACTATTAGAGAAAGTGCTCTGTGATGTGGGCTTCCATCTCATGGAGATAAACCTTTCTTTCATTCAACAGTTTGGAAACACTGTTTTTCTCAAATCTGAGAAGGAATAATTGGGAGTGCATTTAAGCCTATGGTGAAAAAGAAAATATGTTCAGGTTAAAGCCAGACGGAAAGTTTTTGTGAAACTGTGTTGTGATGTGGGCATTCATCTCACAGAGTGAACCCTTTCTTTTGATTCAGCAGTTTAGAAACACTGTCTCTGTCAATTCTGTGAATAGACTTTTGAAAGCTCCTTGAGGCTGGCAAAAAAGTTAATATCTCAGGATAAAAACTAGAAGGACGCTATCTGAGAAACCACTTGTAAATTGTGCATTCATCTCACAGAATTAAATTTTTCTTTTCATTCAGCAGTTTGGAAACACTGTTGTTGTAGAATCTGCGAAGACATATTTGGGAGCACAATGAGGACTACAGTGGAAAAGAAAGTAAATTCAGATAAAAACTAGAAAGAATCTTTCTGAGATACTGCTTTGTGATGTGTGCATTCATCCCACAGAGTTAAACCTTTCTTTTTATTCAGCAGATTGGAAACACTGTTTTTGTCCATTCTGCAAATGGACATTTTGCAGCTTATTGAGGCCAACTACAAAACAGAAAATATGCCACGATAAAAACTACATGAAGCTATTTGAGAGTCAGCTTTCCTAGGTGTGCATTAATCTTGAAGAGTTAAACTTTTCTTTTGATTCAGCAGTTTGAAAACACTGCTTTTTTAAGAATCTCTGAAGGGCAATTTCGGAGTGCATTGAGGCCTATGGTGAAAAATAAAATACCTTCAGATAAAAACTAGATGGAAGCTTTCTGAGAAACTGATTTGTGATGTGCACATTCGTTCCAGAGAGTTAAACCTTTCTTTTAATTCAGCAGTTTTCAAAAACTGTTTTTGTCCATTCTGTGAATAGACATTTGAAAACTCATTGAGGCCAATGAAGAAAAAGTGAATATCTCAGGATAAAAACTAGAAGGAAGCTATCTGAAAAACTGTCTTGTTTGGTGTGCATTCAACTCTCAGAGTTATAACGTACTTTTCATTCAGCAGTTCTGAAACACTGTTTTTGTAGAATATCTGAAGGGTTGTTTCACAGTGCATTGAGACTTATGGTGAAAAATAAAATACCTTCAGATAAACACTAGGTGGAAGCTTTCTGAGAAACTGATTTGTGATGTGTGCATTCATTCCACAGAGTTAAACCTTTCTTTTGATATAGCAGTTTTCAAAAACTGTTTTTGTCCATTCTGTGAATAGACATTTGAAAACTCATTGAAGTCAGTGGAGAAAAAGCAAATATCCCAGGATAAAAACTAGAAGGAAGCTATCTGAGAAACGGCTTTGTGATGTGTGCATTCATCTCACAGAGTTAAACCTGTCTTTTCATTCAGGAGTTTGGAAACACTGTTTTTGTCCATTCTGCCAATGGATATTTGACAGCTTATTGAGGCCAATAGTGAAAAAGTGCATATCCCAGGATAAAAACTAAAAGGAAGCTACCAGAGAAAATGCTTTGTGATGTGTCAATTCTTCCCACAGAGGTATAAGTTTCTTTTCATTCAGCAGTTTAGAAACATGGTTTTGTCCATTCTGAGAATGGACAGTTAGGAGCTCTTTCAGGACAATGGTGAAAAAGAGAATATCCTAGGATAAAAATTAGAAAAACGGTATCTGAGGAACTGCTTTTTGATGTGTATTCATCTCACTGAAGTAAACCTTTCTCTTCATTCAGCAATTTGGAAACCCTGTTTTTGTAGTATCTGCGAAGGAATACTTGGGTGTGTTTTGAGGCCTATGTGGATAAAGAAAATATCTCCAAATAAAAACTAGAAAGAAGTTTTCTGAGAAACTGCTTTGTTGTTTTTGCATTCATCTATGAGATGTAAAACTTTCTTTTGATTCAGCTGTTTGTAAACACTGTTTTTGTACTTTCTGTGAATGGATATTTGGGATCTCATTGTGGTGAATTGCAAAAAAGTGAAAATACAAAGACAAAAACTAGAATGAAGCTATCTGAAAAACTGCTTTATGATATGTTAACATTTCTTTTCATTTAGCATTTGGAAACACTGTTTTTGAAGGATCTGTGATGGCATATTTGGGAGCTCTTTGATGCCAATGGTGAAAAAGAAAATACCTTTAGATAAAAACTAGAAAGAAACATTCTGAGAAAGTGCTTAGTGAAGTGTGCATTCATCTCACAGAGGTAAACATTTCTTTCGATTCAGCAGTTATTTTGTCCATTCTGTGAATGGACATATGGGAGCTCATTGAGGCCAATGGCAAAAAAATGAATATCACAGGACAAAAACTAGAGGGAACCTATCTGATAAACGGTTTTGTGATATGTGCATTCACCAAGCAGAGTTAAATATTTCGTTTCATTTAGCAGTTTGGAAAGTTTTTTTTTTGTTTTTTAGCATCTGCTAAGAAATATTTGGGAGTGCATTGATGCCTATGGTGAAAAAGTAAATATATTTAGATAAAAACTAGAAATAATCTTTCTGAGAAACTGCTTTGTGATGTGTACATGCACCTCACTGAATTAAACCTTTCCTTGGATTCAGCAGTTTTGAAATACTGGTTTTGTCCATTTTGTGAATGTACACTTGGGAGCTCCTTGAGACCAATGGTGAAAAAGTGAATATCCAAGGATAAAAACTAGAAGGAAGCTGTATGAGAAATCGCTTTGTGATGGGTGTATTCATCACGCAGATTTAAAAGTTTCTTTGATTCAGCAGTTTGGAAACACTGTTTTAGTCCTTTCTGTGAATGGACATTTGGGAGCTCTTTGAGGTCAATGATGAAAGTGCGATAATCCCAGGGCAAATCCAAAAGGAAGCTATATGAGGAACCAATTTTTGATGTGTGCCTTCATCTCAGAGAATTAAATCTTTCCTTTTATTGAGCAGTTTTAAAGCACTCTTTTGTTCGAATCTGTGATGGGATATTTGGGAGCACATTGTGGCCTATAGTGAAAAAGAAAATATCTTCATATATAAAAATTAGAAAGAAACTTTCTGAGAAACTGCTTTGTGATGCTTTCATTCATCTCCAAGAGTTAAACCATTCTTTTGATTCAGCAGTTTGGAAACACAGTTTTTGTTCATTCCGTGAATGTACATTTGGGAGCTCATTGAGGGCAATAGCGAAAAACCGAATATCCCATTATGAAAACTATAAGGAATTTATCTGAGAAACAGCATTGTGATGTGTGCATTCATCTCACAGAGGTAAACTTTCTGTTCATTCAGCAGTTTAGAAATACTGTTTTTGTAGAATCAGTTAAGAGGTATTTGGGAGAGCATTGTGGCATATGGTGAAAAAGAAAATATCTTCAGAAAAAGACTAGAAAGTAACTTTCTGAGATGTGATGTTTGCATTCATCTCAAAGAGTTAAACCATTCTTTTGATTCAGCAGTTTGGAAACACTGTTTTTGTCCATTCTGCATGCGGTCATTTGCGAGCTCATTGAGTCCAATGGTGATAAAGCAAATATCCCAGGATAAAATCAAGAAGGAAGCTACTGGAGAAGCCACTTTTCAGTATGCTCATTCATCTCACGGAGTTTAACATTGCTTTTGATTCAGCGGTTTGGTAACACTATTTTTGTACTTTCTGCAAATGGACATTTGAAAGGTCATTAAGCCAATGGTGAAAAAGAGACTATCCCAGGATGAAATCTAGAAGGAAGCTATCTGAGAAATTGCTTTGTGATGTGTGCATTCATTTCACAAAGTTAAACCTTTTTTTGATACAACAGTTTTGAAACACTGTTTTTGGGCATTCTGCAAATGGACACTTGAGAGTTCCTTGAGACCACTTTGTGATGGGGGCATTCATTGCATAGATTTAAATCTTTCTTTGATTCAGCAGTTTGTAAATAGTTTTTTTTCCTTTCTGTGAATGGATATTTGGGAGCTAATTGAGGTCATTGGCAAAAAAGCTAATATCCCAGGTTAAAAACTAGAATGAAGCTATCTGAGAAATCACATTGTCATGTGTAAAGCTTTCTTTTTATTCAGCAGTTTTAAACACGGTTTTTATTCAATCTGCATAAGGATATTTTGGAGTGCATGGAGGCCAACGGTTGTAAAGGAAATATTTTCAAATAAAAACTAGACAGAAGCTTTCTGAGAAACTACTTTTTGAAGTGTGCCATCAACTCACAGAGTTAAACCTTTCTTTTGATTCAGCAGTTTGGAAACACAGTTTTTGCCTATTCTGCGAATGGACATTTCAGAGCTATTTGAGGCCAATGGCGAAAAAGCGAATATCCGAGGGTAAAAACTAGAAGAAAGCAATCAGAGAACTCTCTTGGTGATGTGTGCATTCACCTCACAGAGTTAAACCTTCATTTTCCCTCAGCAGTTTGGAGAAACTGTTTTTGTAGAAACTGTGAAGGGATATTTAGGAACACATAGAGGCCTAAGGTGAAACAGAAAATAACTTCAGATAAAAACTAGAAATGAGCTTTCTGAGGAACTGCTTTGTGACGTGTGCATTCATCTCACAGAGTTAAAGCTTTCTTTTGATTTGGCAGTTTGCAGTTTGGAAACAGAGTTTTTGTCAATTCTGCAAATGGACATTTGGGAGATCATTGAAGCCAATGGTGACAAGGGATAAAAACAAGAAGAAAGGTATCTGAGAAACTGCTTTGTGAACTGTGCATTAATCTCACATAGTTAAAATTCTCTTTTCATTGAGCAGTTTGGAAACACTGTTTTTGTAGAACTTGTGAATTGATATTTGGGGGTGCATTGAGGCCTATGGAGAAAAAGAAAATATTTTTGGAAAAAATGGGAAAGAACCTTTGTGAGAAATTGCTTTGTGATGTGGCCATTCATCTCACAGAGTTAAAACTTTCTTCACATTCAGCAGTTTGGAAACACTGTTTTTGTCCATTTTTCGAATGGACATTTTTGAGCTCATTTAGGCCAATTGCAAAAGAGTGAATATCCAAGGATAAAAACTAGAAGGAACCTATCTAAGAAACTTCTTTGTGATGTGTGCATTTGTCTCGCCGACTTAAACATTTCTTTTCATTCAGTGGTTTAGAAACACTGTTTTTGTAGAATCCACAAAGGGATATTTGGGAGTGCATTGTGGCCTGTGGTGAAAAGGAAAATATCTTCAGATAAGAATCAGAAAAAAGCCTAGGCAATACCATTCAGGACATAGGCATGGGCAAGGACTTCATGTCTAAAACACCAAAAGCAATGGCAACAAAAGCCAAAATTGACAAATGGGATCTAATTAAACTAAAGAGCTTCTGCACAGCAAAAGAAACTACCATCAGAGGGAACAGGCAACCTACAAAATGGGAGAAAATTTTCGCAACCTACTCATCTGACATAGGGCTAATATCCAGAATCCACAATGCACTCAAACAAATTTACAAGAAAAAAACAAACAACCCCATTAAAAAGTGGGTGAAGGATATGAACAGACACTTCTCAAAAGAAGACATTTATGCAGCCAAAAAACACATGAAAAAATGCTCATCATCACTGGCCATCAGAGAAATGCAAATCAAAACCACAATGAGATACCATCTCACACCAGTTAGAATGGCAATCATTAAAAAGTCAGGAAACAACAGGTGCTGGAGAGGATGTGGAGAAATAGGAACACTTTTACACTGTTGGTGGGACTGTAAACTAGTTCAACCATTGTGGAAGTCAGTGTGGCGATTCCTCAGGGATCTAGAACTAGAAATACCATTTGACCCAGCCATCCCATTACTGGGTATATACCCAAAGGACTATAAATCATGCTGCTATAAAGACACATGCACACGTATGTTTATTGCGGCACTATTCACAATAGCAAAGACTTGGAACCAACCCAAATGTCCAACAATGATAGACTGGATTAAGAAAATGTGGCACATATACACCATGGAATACTATGCAGCCATAAAAAAGGATGAGTTCATGTCCTTTGTAGGGACATGGATGAAATTGGAAATCGTCATTCTCAGTAAACTATCGCAAGAACAAAAAAACCAAACACCGCATATTCTCACTCATAGGTGGGAATTGAACAATGAGATCACATGGACACAGGAAGGGGAACATCACACTCTGGGGACTGTTGTGGGGTGGGGGGAGGGAGGAGGGATAGCATTGGGAGATATACCTAATGCTAGATGACGAGTTAGTGGGTGCAGTGCACAAGCATGGCACATGTATACATATGTAACTAACCTCCGTAATGTGCACATGTACCCTAAAATTTAAGTATAATAATAAAAGAAAAAAAAAAGAAAGAAAAAAAAGAATCAGAAAAAAGCTTTCTGAGGAACTGCATTGTGATGTGTGCATTCATCTCACTGAGTTAAACTCTTCTTTTCATTCAGCAGTTTGGAAACACTGTTTTGTCCATTCTGAGAATGGATAGTTGGGAGCTCCTTGGGGCCAATGGCAAAAAAGAAAATATTCTAAGATAAAAACTATAAGGAAGCTATCTGAGAATCTGCTTTGTGATGTTTGCATTTGTCTCACAGAAATAAAACTGTTTTAATTGAGCCATTTGGAGAAACTGTTTTTGTCCAATCTGTGAATGGACATTTGAGAGTGAATTGAGGCCAGTGGTGAAAAAAAAAGAATATCAAAGGATAAAACTTTGAAGGGAGCTGAGAAACCGTGTTGTGATGTGTGTATTCATTTTTCAGAAGTAAATGTTTATTTTTATTCAGCTGTTTGGAAACAGTGTTTTTGTAGAATCTGTGAAGGTGTATTTTGGAGGGCATTGAGGCCTATTGAGAAAAGAAAATATCTTCAGATAAAAACTAGAAAGGAGCTTCCTTAGTAACTGCTTTGTGGTGTGTGCATTCATCTCACAAATTTAAACCTTTCTTTTGATTCAGCAGTTTGGAAACACTGTTTTTGCCCATTCTGCGAATGGTCAATTGGGAGCTCATTTAGGCCAATGGAAAAAAAGCAAATATCCAAGGATAAAAACTACAAGGAAACTATTTGTGAAACCGATTGGTGATGTGCACATTCATCTCACAAATTTAAACCTTTTTATCATTCAGCAGTTTGGAATCATACTTTTTGTCCATTCTGTGAATGGGAGATCATTGAGGCCAATAGCAAAAGAGTAAATTTCCAAAAATAAAAACTAGAAGGAAACTATGAGAAACTGCTTTGGAAAGTGTGCATTCTCTCACAGAGCTCACATTTTCTTTTGATTCAACAATTTGGAAACTCTGTTTTTGTCCATTCTGGGAATGGATATTTGGGAGCTTATTGAAGCCAGTGGTGAAAAAGCAAATATTCCTGGATAAAAATTAGAAGGAAACTATCTGAGAAACAGTTTTGTGATATGTTCATTCACCTCAGAGAGTTAAACCTTTCTTTTTCAATCAGCTGTTTGAAAAACTATTTTTTTTTTTTTTGAGACGGAGTCTCGCTCTGTCGCCCAGGCCGGACTGCGGACTGCAGTGGCGCAATCTCGGCTCACTGCAAGCTCCGCTTCCCGGGTTCACGCCATTCTCCTGCCTCAGCCTCCCGAGTAGCTGGGACTACAGGCGCCCGCCACCGTGCCCGGCTAATTTTTTGTATTTTTAGTAGAGACAGGGTTTCACCTTGTTAGCCAGGATGGTCTCGATCTCCTGACCTCATGATCCACCCACCTCGGCCTCCCAAAGTGCTGGGATTACAGGCGTGAGCCACCGTGCCCGGCCTGAAACACTATTTTTGTAGATCCTTCAAAGGGATATTTAGGAGCGCATAGAGGCCTAAGGTGAAACAGAAAATAACTTCAGATAAAAACTAGAAATTAGCTTTCTGAGAAACTGCTTTGTGATGTGTGCATTCATTTCACAGAGTTAAAACTTTGCTTTATTCATCAGTTTTCAAACACTGTCTTTTTCCTTTCTTCGAATGGACATTTGGGAGCTCATTGAGGCCAATGACAAAGAAGCGAATATCCTGGGATAAAAACTAGAAGGAAGCCATTTGAGAAACCAATTTGTGATATGTGCATTCTTCTCAAAGGTTTAAACCTTTCTTTTGATTCAGCAGTTTTGAAACACTGTTTTGGTCCATTCTGTGAATTGATATTTGGTAGTTCATAGAGGACAATGTGAAAAAGGGCATATACCAGGAAAAAAAATAGAAGGAAACTATCTGAGAAACCACATTGTGATGTGTGCATTTATCTCACAGAGTTAAACCTTTCTTTTCATTGAGCAGTTTGTAAACACTATTTTTTTAGTATCTGCAAAGTGATATGTGGGAGTGCATTGAGGACTTTGGTGCAAAAGAAAATATCTTCTAATAAAAACTAGAAAGAAGATTTATGAGAAATGACATTCTGATGTGTGCATTCATCTCAGAGAGGTAAACCTTTCTTTTGATTCAGCGCTTTGGAAACACTGTTTTTTTTTCCCATTCTGTGAGTGGACATTTCAGAGCTCATTGAAACCAATGGCAAAAAAGAGAATACCCCAGGAAAAATACTAGAAGGAAGCTATCTGAGAAACTGCTCAATAAAATGTGCCATCACATTGCAGAGTTAAACCTTTTTTTAACTTAGTGGTTTGGAAACACTGTTTTTGTAGAATCTGCAAAAGGGTAATTTAGGAGCATATGGAGGCCTTTGCTGAAAAAGGAAATATTTTCAGATTAAAACTAGAAAGAAGCTATGAGAAAATGCTTTGTGAGCTGTGCATTCATCTCACAGGGTTAAACCTTTCTTTAGATTCAGCAGTTTGGAAATAGTGTTTTGTCCATACTATAAATGGACATTTGGGAGCTCATTGAGGCCAATGTTGAAAAAGTGAATATCCAAGGATGAAAACTAGAAGGAAGCAACCTGAGAAACCGTTTTGTGATGTGTGCATTCACTTCACAGAGTTAAAACCTGCTTTTCATTTGACAGTTTGGAAAGACTGTTTTTGTAGAATCTGTGAAGGGATATTTGGCAGTGCATTGAGGCCTATAGTGAAAAAGGAAATATTGTCACATAAAAACTAGAAAGAAGCACTCTGAGAAACTGCTTTGTGATGTGTACTTTCGTGTCACAGAGTTAAACGTTTATTTTCATTCAGCAGATTGGAAACAATGTTTATTTCCATTATGCTAATGGCCATTTTGGAGCTCTTTGTGGCCAATGGCGAAAAAGCGAATATAGAAGGATATTCACTGGAAGGAAGCTATCTGAGAAAACGCTTTGTGATGGGTCCATTCATCTCTCATAATTAAATATTTCTTTTCATTGAGCAGTTTGGAAACACTGTTTTTGTGGAATTAGCGAATTGATATTTGAGAGAGCATTGAGGTCTATGGTGTTAAAGAAATTATCTTCTGAAAAAAATGGGAAAGAAGCTTTGTGAGAAACTGCTTTGTGATATGTCTATTCATCCCACAGATTTAAACCTTTCTTTAAATTCAGCAGTTTGAAAATACTGTTTTTGTCCATTTTGCAAATGGACATGTTGGGCTCATTGAGGCCAATTGCAAAAGAGCGAATATCCAAGGATAAAAACAAGAAGGAAGCTATATGGGAAACCTTTTTGTGTTGTGTGCATTTGTCTCACTGGCTTAAACATTTCTTTTCATTCAGCAGTAGGGAAACACTGTTTTTGTAGAATCTGTGAAGGGATATTTGGGAGTGCATTGAGGCATATGGTGAAAAGGAAAATATCTTCAGATAAATACTAGAAGGAAGCTATCTGAGAAATCGTTTTGTGACGTTTACATTCATCTCACGGAGATCAAACTTTCTTTTAATTGAGCAGTTAGGAAACACTGTTTTTTCCAATGTGCAAATGGACATTTGGGTGATAACTGAGGCCAAAGGTGAAAAAAGTGAACATCCCAGGATAAAATGTAGAAGGGAGCTATCTGAGAAGCCTTGTTGTGATGTGTGTATTCATCTTGCAAAGTTTGGGAGCTCATTGAGGCCAATAGCAAAAATGCAAATATCCAAAAAATAACAACTAGAAGGAACCTATGAGAAACCATTTTTGAATGTGTGTGTTCATCTCACAGTGAAAACTTTCTTTTGATTCAGCAGTTTGAAATCTCGGTTTTTGTCCATTCTGTGAATGGAGTTTTCGGAGCTTATTGAGGACTGTGGTGAAAAAGAAGATACCCAGGATAAAAACTAGAAGGAAGCTATCTGAGAAACCACTTTGTGATATGTTCATTCATTTCAGAGAGTTAAACATTTCTTTTCATTCAGCTGTTTGAAACACTGTTTTTGTAGAATCCTCAAAGGGATATATGGGAGTGCATTGAGGCCTACGGTGAAAAAGAAAATATCTTCAGATAAAAACTAGAAAGAAACTTTCTTAGAAACTGCCTTGTGATGTGTGCATTCCTCTCACAGAGTTAAAACTTTCCTCTGATTCAGCAGTTTGGAAACACTCTTTTTGTCCATTCTTTGAATGGACATATGGGAGCTCATTGAGACCAATGGCAAAAAAGCTAATATCTAAGGATAAAAACTAGAAGGAAGCTATATGAGAAATCACTTTGTGATGTGTGAATTCATCTCACAGTGTGAAATCTTTCTTCTGATTCAGCAGTTTGGAAACACTGTTTTTGTCCATTCTGTGAATGGACTTTTGGGAGCTCATTGAGGCCAATGGTGAAAAAGTGAATATCAAAGGATAAAAACTAGAAGCAAGCTACCTGAGAATCCACTTTGTGATGTGTGCATTCATCTCACAATGTGAAATCTTTCTTTTGATTCAGCAGTTTGGAAACACTGTTTTTGTCCATTCTGTGAGTGGACATTTGGGAGCTCATTGAGGCCAAAGGTGAAAAAGTTAATATCAAAGGATAAAAACTAGAAGCAAACTACCTGAGAATCCACTTTGTGATGTGTGCATTTATCTTGCAGAGTAAAACTTTCTTTTGATTCAGCAGTTTGGAAACCCTGTTTTTATCCTTTCTGTGAATGGATACTTGTGAGCTCATTGAAGCCAGTGATGAAAAAGTGAAAATCCCAGGATCAAAACTGCAATGAAGCTTTCTGGCAAACTGCTTTGTGATGTGTGCATTCATTCCACAGAGCTAAAACTTTCCTTTGATTCAGCAGTTTGGAAACAATCTTTTTCTCTATTCTGCAAATGGATATTTAAGAGCACATCGAGGCTAATGGCAAAAATGCGAATATCCCAGGATAAGGACAAGGAGAAGCTATCTGAGAAACTGCTTTGTGATGTGTGCATAAATCTCACAGAGTTAAAACTTTCTTTTCATGCAGCAGTTTGGAAACACTGTTTTTGTAGAAGCTGCAAAGGGATATATGGGAACACATTGAGGCCTTTGGTGAAAAAGGAAATATCTTCACATAAAAACTAGAAAGAAGCTTTTGAGAAACAGCTTTGTGATGTGTACATTCACTTCACAGTTTAAAAACTTCCTTTTCATTCAGCTGTTTGGAAACACTGTTATTGCAGAATCGATGAAGGTATATTTGGGAGCCCATTGAGGCCTATGGTGAAATAGAAAACATCTTCAGATAAAAACTAGAAAGAAGCATTCTGAGAAACTGCTTTGGTAATGGTGCATTCATCTCACAGATTTAAAGCATTCTTTTTTATTTAGCAGTTTGGAAACAATGTTTTTGTAGAATCTCAGAAGGGATATTTTGGAGCGCCTTGAGGCCTACGGTGAGAAAGGATATATCTTCAGATAAAAACTAGAAAGAAGTTTTCTGAGAAACTGCTTTGTGATGGGTGCATTTAATTCACATAGTTAAAACGTTATTTTGACTCAGCAGTTTGTAAACTCTGTTTTTCTCTATTCTGCAATTGGATATTTGGGAGCTCATTGAGGCCAATAGTGAAAAAGTGAATATTCAAGGATAAAAACTAGAAGGAAACTATCTTAGACACCCCTTTGTGATGTGTGGATTCATCTCGTAGAGATAAACCTTTCTTTTCATTCAGCAGTTTGGAAAGACTGCTTTGGTAGGATCCGTGAAGGAAAATTTGTGAGCATGTTAAGGCCTGTGGTGAAAAAGAAAATATCTTCAGATAAAAACTAGAATGAAACTTTTTGAGAAACTGCTTTGTGTTGTGTGCATTCATCTCACAGAGATAAACATTTTCTTTTCATTCAGCAGTTTGGAAACATTGTTTTTGTCCATTCTGTGAGTGGACATTTGTGAGCTCACTGAGGCCAATGGCTAAAAAGTGATTATCCTAGGATTAAAACTAGAAAGAAGCTACCTGAGAAACTCCTTTGTGATGTGTCCATTCATCTCGCAGAGTTAAACATTTCTTTTCATTCAGCAGATTGGAAATGCTGTTTTTGTAGAATCTGCAAAGAGATATTTTGGAGCACATTGAGGCCTATGTTGAAAAAGAAAATATTGTCAGAAAAAAACTACAAAGAAGCTATCTGAGAAATTGCTTTGTGATGTGTGCATTCATCTTGCAGAGTTAAACCTTTCTTTTGATTCAGCAGTTTGCAAACACTGTTTTTGTGCATTCTGTGAATAGACATTTTGGAGCTCATTGAGGCAAAAGGTGAAAAAGAGAATATCCCTGGAAAAAACTACAAGGCACTATCTGAGAAACTGCTTTGTGATGTGCATATTCAGCTCATGGAGTTAAGTCCTACATTTCATTCAGCAGTTTGGAAACATGTTTTTGTAGACCATGTGAAGGGTTATTTGCATACCGCATTGAGGCCTATGGTCCAAAAGAAAATATCTTCAGATAAAAACAAGAAAGAAAATTGCTGAGAAACTGCTTTTAGATGTGTGCACTCACCTCACAGAATTAAACTTTTCTTTCAATTCAACAGTTTGGAAACACTGTTTTTGTCCATTCTGAGTATGAACATCTGGGAGCTCATTGAGGCCAATGGCAAAAAATCAAATGTCCCAGTATAAAAACTAAAAGGAAGCTATCTGAGAAACCACCTTGTGATTTTTGCATTCATCTCACAGAGTTAAACCCTTCTTTTTATTCAGCAGTTTGGAAACACTTTTTTTGTAGAATCTGCAAAGGGATGTTTGGGAGCACATTGAGGCCTATGGTGTAAAATAAATTATCTTCAGGTAAAAAATAGAAAGAAGCTCTCTGAGAAACTGTTTGTGATGTGTGCATTTGTCTCACAGAGGTAAACATTTCTTTTGATTCAGCAGTTTGGAAACACTGTTTATGTCCATTCCTGTGGATGGCCATACAGGAGCTCATTAAGGCCTATGGTGAAACAGTGAATATCCCAGGATAAAAACTAGTTGAAGCTATATCAGAAATCGCTTTTTGACGTGTGCATTTAGTTTGAGGCATTAAATATTTTTTTTTTCTTCAGCAGTTTGGTAACACGGGTTTTGTAGAATCTCCAAATGGACAATTGGGAGCTCATTGAGGACAATGGTGAAAAAGAAAATATCCCCAGATAAAGACTACGAGGAAGCTATCTGAGAAACCCTTTTGTGATGTTTGCATTCATCTAGCAGAGTTTAATCTTTCTTTTGACTCAGCAGTTTGGAAACACTGTTTTTGTGCATTCAGCAAATGGACTTTTTGGAGCTCATTGAGGCAAAAGGTGAAAAAAATGAATATTCCAGGAAACAACTACAAGGCACTATCTGAGAAACCTCTTTGTGATGTGTGTATTCAGCTCATGGAGTTAAATCATATATTTCATTCAGCAGTTTGGTAACGTTGTTTTTGTAGAATTTGTGAAGTTATACTTGCATAGCTCATTGAGGCCTATGGTGAAAAAGAAAATATCTTCAGATTAAAAACTAGAAAGAAGCTTTCTGAGAAACTGCTTTGAGATATGTGAATTCCTCTCACAGAGTCAAACTTTTCTTTTGATTCAACAGTTTGGAAACACTGTTTATATCCATTCTGCAGATGGCCATATGGGAGCTCACTAAGGCCTATGGTGAATATTGAATATCCCAGGATAAAAACGAAAAGGAAGCCATCTCAAAAAGTGCTTTGTGATGTGTGCATTCAGCTTGAGGAGTTAAATATTTCTTTTCATTCAGCAGTTTGGTAACACAGTTTTTGTAGAGTCTCCAAACAGACAACTTGGAGCTCATTGAGGCCAATAGTGAAAAGGGGAATGTTTCAGGATGAAAACTAGAAGTAAGCTATATTAGAAATCTTTTTGTGATGTGTTCATTCATCTCACAGAGGTAAACATTTCCTTTCATTAATCAGGTTGGAAAAACTGTTTTTGTAGCCTCTGCAAAGGTTTATTTGGGAGCACATTGAGGTCTTTGTTCAAAAAGAAAATATCTGCAGATAAAAACTAGAAAGAAGCATTCTGAGAAACTTCTTTGTGATGTGTGCATTCACCTGACAGATTTAAACTTTTCTTTTGATTCAGCAGTTTGGAAACACTTTATTTGTCCAATCTGGGAATGCAAATTTGGGAGCTCATTGAGGCCAATGGTGAAAGAGTGAATATCCCAAGTTAAAAACTAGAAGGAAGCTATCTAAGGAACTGTTTTGTGATGTGTGCCTTCATCTTGCAGTGTTAAACCTTTCTTTTGATTCAGCAGTTTAGAAACACTATTTTCGTTTATTCTGCAAATGGACCTTTGGGAGCTCATTGAGGCAAAAGGCGAAAAAGTGAATATCACCGAATAAAACAGAAAGAATGTATATGAGAAACCGCTTTGTGATGTGGACATTTATCTCACAGAGTTAAAACTTACTTTCGATTCAGCAACTTGGATACAATGTTTTTGTCCATTCTGTGAAAAGACATTTGGGAGCTCTTTGAGGCCAAAGTCGAAAAAGTGAATATCCCACGAAGAAAACCAGAAAGAAGCTATCTCAGGAACCTCTTTGTGATGTGTGCATTCGTCTTGCAGAGGTATATCTTTATTTTCGTTAAGAAGTTTGGAAAAACTGTTTTTGTAGGATCTGGTATAAGATATTTGGGAGCAAATTGAGGCCTATGGTGAAAAAGAAACTATCATCAGATAAAAAGTCGAAAAATAGTTTCTGAGGAACTGCTTTGTGTTCTGTGCATTCATCTCACAAAGTTACACCTTTCTTTAGACTTAGCAGTTTGGAAAAACTGATTTTTTCCATTCTGGGAATGGACATTTCAGAGCTCATTCAGGCCAATGACAAAAAATCGAATATCCCAGGATGAAAAGTAGAAGGAAGCTATCTGAGAAACCTTTATGTGATATGTAAACTCATCTCACTGAGTTAAACCTTTCTTTTCATTCCGCAGTTTTGAAACACTATTTTTGTCCATTGTGTGAGTGGACATATGGTTGCTCATTGAGGCCAATGGTGAAAAAGGGAATATCAACAGATAAAAAGTAGAAGTGAGCTATATGAGAAACTGCTTTGTGATGTGTGCATTCATCTCTCTGAGTTAAACTTTTCTTTTCATTCAGCAGTTTTGAAACACTGGTTTTGCAGAATCTGCCAAGGGATATTTGGGAACACCTTGAGGCCTGTGATGAAAAAGAAAATATCTTCAGATAAAAACCAGAAAGAAGCTTTCTGAGAAACTTCTTTGCTGTGTGTGCATGCATCTTACATAGTTAAAACTTTCTTTTGATTGAGTAGTTTGGAAAAACTGTTTTCGTCTGGATATTTGGGAGCTCATTTGGCCAATGGCAAAAAAGAAAATAACCCAGAATAAAAACAAGAGGATGCTATCTGAGAAACTGCTTTGTGACGTGTGCATTCATCTTGCAGAGTTAAACCTTTTCTTTCATTCTGAAGTTTTGAAACTTTGCTTTTTTCCTTTCTGTGAATGGGCATTTAGGAGCTCTTTGAGGTTAATGGCGAAAAAATGAATATCCCAGGAAGAAACCAGAAAGAAGCTGACAGAGAAAAGTCTTTGTGATGTGTGCATTTATCTCGCAGAGATAAACCTTTCTTTTCATTAAGCAGTTTGGAAAAATTGTATTTGTGGAATCTGCAAATAAATATTTGGGAGCACAGTGCGGCTTATGATGAAAAAGAAAATGTCTTCAGGTAAAAACTAGAAAGAAGCTTTCTGAAAAACTGCTTTGTGATGTGTGCATTCATTGCACAGAGTTAAACCTTTTATTGATTCAGCAGTTTGGAAACACTGTTTTTGTCCATTCTATGAATGGATATTTGGGATCTCATTGAGACCAATGGGGAAAAAGCAAATATCCCAGGATTAAAACTGGAAGGAAGCTATCTGAGAAACCATTTTGTGATGTGTGCATTCACTGCACAGAGTTAAAACTTTCTTTTGGTTCAGCAGTTTGGAAACACTGTTTTTGTCAATTCTGTCAATGGACTTTTGGGAGCTCATTGAGGCCAATGGCAATAAGGTGAACATCATAGTATAAAAACAGAAGGAAGCTATCTGAGGAAGCTATAAAAGCAGAAGGAAGCTCTTTGTGATGTGTGCATTCAGCTTGAGGATGTAAATCTTATTTTTCTTTCAGCAGTTTGGAAACACTGTTTTTTTTGGAATCTACAAATGGACATTTGGGAGTGAACAGAGGCCTATGGTTGAAAAAAATCATCTTCAAATAGAAACTATAAAAAATCTTTTTGAAAAACTGCTTTGTGATGTTTGCACTCGTCTCACAGGGTTAAACCATTCTTTTGTTTCAGCAGCTTTTAAACACTGTTTTTGTCCATTCTGTGAATGGACATTTGGGAGCTCTTTGAGGTCAAAGGTGAGAAGAAAATAACCCAGGATAAAAACTAGAAGGAAGCTCTATGAGAAACTGCTTTGTGATGTGTGCATTTGTCTCAGAGAGTTAAAATTTTCTTTTGATTCAGTGGTTTGGAAACACTGTTTTTGTCTTTTTTTGAAAACGGACTTTAGGGAGCTCATTGAGGCCAATGGCAAAAAAGCAAATAATCTAGAATAAAAACAGAAAGAAGCTATCTGTGAAACTGCTTTGTGATGTGTGCATTCCTCTAGCAGAGTTAAACTTGTCCTTTCACTCAGCAGTTTTGAAACACTGTTTAATTTCCATTCTGCAAATGGACATGTGGGAGCTCACTGAGGCCAACTGCGAAGAAACGAATATCCCAGGAAGAAAATGAGAAGGAAGCTATCTGAGAAACCCTTGTGATGTGTGCATTCATCTTGCTGAGGTAAAACTTTCTTTTCATTAAGCAGTTTGGAAAAACTGTTTTTGTAGCACCTGCAAATAAATATTTGGGAGCACATTGTGGCCTATGGTGAAAAAGAAAATATCTTCAGATAAAAATAGAAACTTTCTGAGAAATTACTTCGTGATGTGTGCATTCATCTCACAGACTTAAAACTTTCTTTTGATTCAGAAGTTTGGAAACACTGTTTTTTCCATTCTGCAAATGGAAATTTGGGAGCTCATTGAGGTCAATGGCGAAAAAGGAAATATTTCAGGATGAAAACTAGAAGAAAGCTATATTAGAAAACTTTTTATGATGTGTTCATTCATCTCAAAGAGGTAAACCTTCCTTTTCATTAAGCAGTTTGGAAAAACTCGTTTTTTAGCATCTGCGAAGGGATATTTCAGAGTGCATTGAGACCTATGTTCAAATAGAAAATATATGTAGATAAAAGCTAGAAAAAATGCTTTCTGAGAAACTGCTCTGTGATGTGTGCATTCATCTCACAGAGTTAGACTTTATTTTGATTCAGCAGTTTGGAAACACTTTATTTGTCCATTCCGGAAATGCACATTTCAGAGCTCTTTGAGGACAATGGTGAAAAATTGAATGTCACAGGATATAAACTCAGAGGAAGCTATCTGAGAAACTGCTTTGTTATGTGCACATTCGTCAAGCAAGTTAAACATTTCTTTTCATTCAGCAGCTTGGAAACACTGTTTTTGTAGAATCTCTGAAGGGATATCTGGGAGTGCTTTGAGGCCTATGTTGAAAAAGAAAATATCTTCAGATAAAAATGAGAAAGTAGCTTTCTGAGAAACTGCTTTGTGATGTGTGCATTCATCTCAGACATTTAAACCTTTCTTTGAATTCAAAAGTTTAGAAACACTGTTTTTGTCCATTCTCTGAATGGACATTTGGGAGCTCTTTGAGGCCAATGGCAAAAAATCGAATTGTCCCAGGATAAAAACTAAGAGGAAACTATCTGAGAAACTCCTTTGTGATGTGTTTCATCTCACAGAGTTAAACCTTTCTTTTGATTCAGCAGTTTGGAAACGCTTTATTTGTCCATCCTTGGAATGCACATTTGGGAGCTCATTGAGGCAAAAGGCGAAAAATTGAATGTCACAGGATATAAACTCAGAGGAAGCTATCTGAGAAACTGCCTTGTGATGTGCACATTCATCTCGCAGAGTTAAACCTTTCTTTTCATTCAGCAGTTTGGAAACACTCTTTTTGTAGAATCTGTGAGGGTATATTTGGGAGCACATTGAGGCCTATGATGGAAAAGAAAATACCTTCAGATGAAAAATAGAAAGAAGCTTTCTGAGAAACTGCTTTATGTTGTATGCATTCATCTCACAAAGTTACACCTTTCTTTTAATTCAGTTGTTTGGAAACACTGTTTTTGTTTATTTTGCAATTGGACATTTGGGGGTCCTTTAAGCCCAATGATGAAAAATTCAATGTCCCAGGATGAAAAGAAGAAGGAAGCTATCTGAGAAAACTTTTTGTGAAATGTGCATTCAACTTGCAGAGTTAAAACTTTCTTTTCATTTAGCAGCTTGGAAAAACTGTTTTTGTCCATTCTGTGGTGGACATATAGGAGCTCATTGAGGCAAATGGCAAAAAAGCAAATATCACCAGATAAAAACTAGAAGGAAACTATCTGAGATACCTCTCTGTTATGTGTGCATTCATATCACATAGCTAATCCTTTTTTTTTGTTCAGTAGTTTGGAAACACTGTTTTTGTCTGGATATTTGGGAGCTCATTGAGGCCAATGGTGAAAAAGTGAATATGCCAGGATAAAAACTAGATGAAATCTATCTCAGAAACATTTTTCTGATGTGTGTATTCATCTCACAGAGTTAAAAGTTTCTTTTGCTTCAACAGTTTGGAAACACTGTTTATGTAGAATATGTGAAGGGATCTTCAGATAAAAACCAGAAAGAAGCTTTTTGAGAAAGTGCTTTGTGATGTCTGCATTCATCTCACAGAATTAAACATTTCTTTTGATTCAACAGTTTAGGAACACTGTTTTTGTCCATTCTCTGAATGGACCTTTTGGAGTTCATTAAGGACAATGGCAAAAAATGGAATGCCCCAGGATAAACACTAAGAGGAATCTATCTGAGAAACCAGAATCTGCAAAGGGATATTTGGGTGCACATTGAGACCTGGGGTGAAAATATAATACCTTCAGATAAAAACTAGAAAGAAGCTTTCTGATAAACTTCTTTGTGATGTGTGCATTCATCTCATAGAGTTAAATGTTTCTTTTGAGTCAGAAGTTTAGAAATGCTGTTTTTGTCCATGCTGTGAATGGACATTTTGGTGTTCATTAAGGACAATGGCAAAAAATGGAATGCCCCAGGATAAACACTAAGAGGAATCTGTCTGAGAAACCACTTTGTGATGTGTGCATTCATCTCACAGAGTTAAATCTTTCTATTCATTCTGCAGTTCCAAAACACTTTTTTTGTAGAATCTATGAATGGACATTTGGGAGTGAATTGAGGCTTATGGTTGAAAAGAAAACATCTTCAGATGGAAACAAAAAAATGTTTTTGAAAAACTGCTTTGTGATGTGTGCATTCATCTCTCAGGGTTAAACCATTCTTTTGATTCAGTGTTTTTAAACTTTGTTTTTGCCCATTATGAAAATTTGGGAGTTCATTGAGGTCAATGGCAAAGAAGAGAATATCCCAGGATAAAAACTAGAAGGAAGCACTATGAGAAACCTCTTTGTGATGTGTGCATTTGTCTCAGAGAGTTAAAACTTTCTTTTGATTCAGCGGTTTGGAAACACTGTTTTTGTCTTTTCTGCAAATGGACATTTTGCTGCTCTTTCAAGCCAATAGTGAAAAAGGGAATGTCCCAGGATAAAAACTTAGAGGAAGCTATCTGAGAAAACAGTTTGGGTGCTTCCATTCATCTCACAGACTTAAATCTTTCTTTTCATTCAGCAGTTTGGAAACACTGTTTTTGTCAATTTTTCAAATGGACTTTAGGGAGCTCATGGGGGCCAATTGCAAAAAAAAAAGCAAATAACCCAGAACAAAAACAGAAGGAAGCACTCTGTGAAGCTGCTTTGTGATGTGTGCATTCATCTAGCAGAGTTAAATCTTTCCTTTCCTTCAACAGTTTTGAAAAACTGCTTTTTTCTTCCATTCTGAATGGACATTTGAGAACTCATTGAGGCCAATGTCGAAAAAGGGACTATCCCAGGAAGAAGATGAGACTGAACCTACTTGAGAAACCTCTTTGTGATGTATTCATTCATCTCACTGAGGTAAACCTTTCTTTTCATTAGGCAGTTTGGAAAAACTCTTTTTTGTAGCATCTGCAAAGAAATATTTTGGAGCACATTGAGGTCTATGGTTAAAAACAAAATACCTTCATATAAAAATTAGAAAGAATATTTCTGAGAAACTGCTTTGTGACATATGCACTCATCTCAAAGAGTTAAAAGTTTCTTTTGATTCTGCAATTTGGAAACTATTTTTGTCCATTCTGTGAATGGACATTTGGGAGCTCAGTGAGGCCAATGGCAAGAAATCAAACGTCCCAGGATGAATACTATGTGGAAGCTCTCTGAGAAACTGCTTTGTAATGTATGCATTAATCTCACAGAGTTAAACATTTCCTTTCATTCAGCAGTTTTGAGACACTGTTTTTTTTCATCCTGATGGACATTTGGGAGCTCATTGAGGTCAATGGCAAAAAAGCAAACATACAAGGATAAAAACTACAAGGAAGCTATCTGAGAAACTGCTTTTGATGTGTGCACTCATTTTGCCAAGTTAAAACTCTCTTTTTATTCAGCAGTTTGCAAAAACTGTTTTTGAAGAATCTGCAAAGGGATATTTGGGATCTCATTGAGGCCTATGGTGAAAAAGAAAATATCTTCAGATAAATCTAGAAAGAAGCTTTCTGAGAGACTGCTTTGTGATGTGTGCATTAATCTCACGAGTTAAACATTTGTGTTCATTCAGCTGTTTAGAAACACTGTTTTTGTCCATTCTGCGAATGGACATTTTGGAGCTCTTTGATGCCAATGGCAAAAACGGGGATATCCCAGAATAAAAACAGAAGGAAACTGTCTTAGAAACCACTTTGTGATGTGTGCATTCATCTAACAGATTTAAACTTTCTTTTGATTCATCAGTTTGGAAACACTGCTTTTGTCCATTCTGCAAAAGGACATTTGGGACTTTGCTGATGTCAATGGTGAAATATCGAATATTCCAGAATGAAAACAGAAGGAAGCTATCTGATAAACCTGTTTGTGATGTGTGCATTCAGCTCGAGGAGTTATATCTTTCTTTTTATTCAGCAGTTTGGAAAAGGTGTTTTCCTAGAATCTGAGAAGGGACAGTGGGGAGCGCATTGAGGCCTATAGTGAAAAAGAAAATATTTTCAGATAAAAACTAGAAAGAGGATTTCTGAGAAACTGCTTTGTGAAGTAAGCATTCATCTCACTGAGATAAACCTTTTTTTAATTCAGCAGTTTGAAAACACTGCTTTTGTCCACTCTGTGAATGGACATTTGGGAGCTTATTGAGGCCAATGGTGAAAAAGTGAACATCCCAGTATAAACACTAAGTGGAATCTATCTGAGAAACCGTTTTGTGATGTGTGCTTTCATCTCAGAGAGACAAAAACTTTCTCTTGATTCAGCAGTTTGGAAACACTGTTTTTTCCATTCTACACATCTACATTTGGAAGCTCATTGAGGCCAAAGGTGAAAAAGAGGATATCCCACCATACAAAGAGATGGAAGCAATCTAAGAAACCACTTTGTGATGTGTTCGTTCACCTCGAGGAGTAAAATCTTTCTTTTCATTCAGCTGTTTGGAAACACTGATTTCTAAAATCTGCAAATGGAAATTTGTGGTGCATTGAGGCCTAAGGTAAATATCATCAGATAAAAACTAGAAAGAAGCTTTCTGAGAAACTGCTTTGTGATGTGTGCTTTCATCTCACAGAGTTAAACCTTTCTTTTGTTTCAGAAGTTAGGAAACACTGTTTTAGTCCATTCTGTGAATGGATATTTGGGAGCTAATCAAGGCCAATGACAAAAAAGTGAATATCCCATGACAAAAACTAGAAGGAAGCTATCTGAGAAACATCTATGTCATGTGAGCATTCATCTCAAGGAATTAAATCTTTCTTTTCATTCAGCAGTTTGGGAACCGTTTTTTTGTAGATCTGCAAATGGACATTTGGGAGCTCATTGAGGCCAAGGGTGAAAAATTGAATGTCCCAAGATAAAAACTAAGAGGAAGCTATCCGAGAAATATCTTTGTGATGTGTGAATTCGTCTCACAGAGTTATACCTTTCTTTTCCTTCAACAGTTTGGAAGCAATATTTTTTTAAAAAATCTGTGAATGGATATTGGGGAGTGCATTGAAACCTATGATGAAAACGAAAGTATCTTCAGATGAAAACTAGAAATAAGCTATCTGAGAAACAGCTTGTGATGTATGCATTCATCTCAGAGAGTTAAAACTTTATGTTGATTCAGCAGTTTGGAAACACTGTTTTTGTCCATTCTGTGATTGGACATTTGGAAGCTCATTGAGGCCAATGGGGAAATGCAAATGTAGCATGATAAAACCTAGAAGGAAATTATCTTAAAAAAACTGCTTAGTGATGTGTGTATTCATCTTGCAGAGTTACTCCTTTCTTTTCATCGATCAGTTTGGAAACACCATTTTTGTAGAATCTATGAGGGAATATTTGGAGCACAATGAGGCCTATGGTGAAAAATAAAATATCTTCAGTTAAAAACTAGAAAGAAGCTTTCTGAGAAATTGCTTTGTGGTGTTTGCATTCATCTCACAGATGAAAACTTTCTTTTAATTCAGGAGTTTGGAAACACTGTTTTTTTCCATCCTGAAAATGGACATTTGGGAGCTGTTTGAAGTCAATCAGGAAAAAGTGAATATCCCAGGATAAAAACTGGAAAGAAGCTATCTGAGAAACTGCTTTGTGATATGTGCATTCATCTCACACAGTGAAACCTTTATTTTGATTCAGCAGCTTGGAAACACTGTTTTTGTCCATTCTGCAAATGGATATTTGAGATCTAATTTAGGCCAATGAGGAAAAGCGAATATCCCAGGATAAAAAACAGAAGGAAACTATCTGGGAAACCACTTTGTGATGGGAGCATTCATCTCACAGAGTTAAAACTTTTTTACATTCAGCAGTTTGAAAATACTGTTTTTGTAGAAACTGCGAAGGGATATTTGGGAGTGCATTGAGGCCTATGGTGATAGAATATCTTCAAATAAAAACTAGAAAGAAGCTCTCTGAGAAACTGCTTTGTGATGTGTGCATTTTTCTCACACAGTTAAAACTTTCTTTTGATTAAGCATTTTGGAAACATTGTTTTTGTCCATTCTGAGAATGGACATTTTGAAGCTCATTGAAGCCAATAGCAAAAAAACAAGTGTCCCAGGGAAAAAACTAAGTGGAAGCTATCTCAGCAACCACTGTGTTATGTTTGTATTCAACTCACAGAATTAAAACTTTCTTTTCATTCAGCTCTTGTGGAACACTGTTTTTGTCCAATCTGCAAGTGAACATTTGGGTGCTCATTGAGGCCAGTGGAGAAAAACAGAATATCCCAGGATAAAAACTAGAAGGAAGCTATCTGAGAAACCGTTCTGTGATGTGTGCATTGATTTCAAAGAATAAATTTTACTTTTGGTTCAGCAGTTTGGAAACACTGTATTTGTCCATTCTGTGAATGGACATTTTGGAGCTCATTGAAGCCAAAGGCAAAAAAGCAATTATCCCAGGATAAATACTGGAAGGAAATTATTTGAGAAACCGATTTGTCATGTTTGCATTAAGGTTGAGGAGTTTAATCTTTCTTTTTATTCTGCTTTTCAACTGTGCTTTTGGAAGAACTGTTTTGTAGAATATGCAAATGGACATTTGGAAGCTCAATGAGGCATATGTACAAAAAGAAAATACCTTCAGATAAAAACTAGGAAGAATCTTTCTTAGAAACTGCTTTGTGGTGTGTGCATTCATCTCACAGAGTTAAACCTTTGTTTGATTCAGCAGTTTTAAAACAATTTTTTCGTCCATTCTCCGAATGGACATTTGGTAGATAATGGAGGCCAAAGGCAAAAAAACGAATATCCCATTGCAAAAACTATCAAGAAGCTCTCTAAGAAACTGCTTTCTGATGAGTGCACTCATCTCATAGAGTTAAAACTTTCTTCTTTCAGCAGTTTGGAACCACTGTTTTGTAGAATCTGTGAAGGGATATTTGGGAGTACATTGAGGCCTATGGTGAAAAAGAAAATATCTTCAGATAAAAACTAGAAAAAAGATGTCTGAGAAACTGCTTTGTGATGTGTGAATTGATCTCACATAGTTAAACCTTTCTTTTGATTCAGCAGTTTGGAAACAATGTTTTTGTTCATTCTGTGAATGGACATTTGGGAGCGCAATGAAGCCAATGGCCAAAAATCGAATGTCCCTGGATAAACATCAGGAGGAAGCTATCTGGGAAACTGCTTTGGGATGTGTGCATTCAGCTTGCAGAGTTAAACCTTTCTTTTCATTCAGCAGTTTGGAAACACTGTTTTTCTCCATTCTGCGAATGAACAATTGGAGTGCATTTAGGCCAATGGAGAAAAAGTGAACATCCCAGGATAAAAACTAGAAAGAAGTTATCTGAGAAACTGTTTAATGATGTGTGCATTCATCTCGCAGAGTTAAACTTTTCTTTTCATTCAGCAGTTTGAGAACACCATTGTTGTCCATTCTGCCAATGGACTTTAGGGAGCTCGTTGAGGCCAAAGGCAAAAACATGCATATGCCAGGATAAAAACTAGGAGGAAGCTATCTGAGAAACTGCTCTGTGATGTCTGCATTTATCTCACAGAGTTAAACCCTTCTTTTCATTCAGAAGTTTGGAAACAATTTTTTTATAGAATCTGCCAACAGATATTAGGTAGAGCATTGAGGCGTATGGTGAAAGAGACAATATCTTCAGATAAAAACCAGAAATAATTTTCTGAGAAACTGCTTTGTGATATGTGCATTCATTTCACAGAAATAAACCTTTCTTTTGATTAAGTAGTTTGGAAAAACTGTTTTTGTCTATTCTACAAATGCACATTTTGGAGATCTTTGAGGCCAATTGTGTAAAACTGGATATCCCCAATAAAAACTAGAAGGAAGCTATCTGTGAAACCAATTTGTGATGTGTGCATTCAGCTTGCAGAGTTAAAGCATTCTTTTCATTCAGCATTTTGGAAGCACTCTTTTTGCAGAACCTGTGGAAGGATATTTGGGAGCATAATGAGGTTATGGTGAAAAAGAAAATATCTTCAAATTGAAAACTAACAGAAGCTTTCTGAGATACTGTTTTGTGATGTGTGCATTCATCTCAAAGAGTTAAACCTTTCTTTTGTTTCAGCAGTTTGGAAATACTGATTTTGCCCATTCTGCGAATGGACATTTGGGATCTCATTGAGGCCAATGGCGAAAAAGTGAATATCCCAGGATAAAAACTAGAAGGGGCCAGGCGCGGTGGCTCACGCCTGTAATCTCAGCACTTTGGAAGGCTGAGGCAGGCAGATCACGAGGTCAGGAGATCGAGACCATCCCGGCTAAAAGGTGAAACCCCGTCTCTACTAAAAATACAAAAAATTAGCCGGGCATAGTGGCGGGCACCTGTAGTCCCAGCTACTTGGGAGGCTGAGGCAGGAGAATGGCGTGAACCTGGGAGGCGGAGCTTGCAGTGAGCAGAGATCCCGCCACTGAACTCCAGCCTGGGTGACAGAGCGAGACTCCGTCAAAAAAAAAAAAAAAAAAAACTAGAAGGAAGCTATCTGAGAAACCTCTTTGTGATGTGTGCATTCATCTTGCAGGGTTAAAACTTCTTTTCATTTAGCAGTTCAGAAACAATTTTTTTGTAGAATATGAAAAGGGATATTTGGAAGTGTGTTCAGGACCATGGTGAGAAAGGAAATATCCTCAGATAAAAACTAGAAAGAAGCTTTCTGAGAAACTGCTTTGTCATGTGTACATTCCTCTGGCACAGTTAAACCTCTCTTTTCATACAGCAGTGTAAACACTGTCTTTTTCAATTCGGCAAATTGACATTTGGGAGCTCATTGAGGCCCATGAGGAAAATGTGAATATTCCTGGATAAAAACTAGAAGGAAGCTATCTGAGGATCTGCTTTGTGATGTGTGCATTCGTCTCACAGAGTTAAAACTTTCTTTCAATTCAACAGTTTTGAATCAATGTTTTTGTCCATTCTGTCAATGGACATTTTGAGCTTATTTGGGACAATGGTGAAAAAGTAAAAGTCCCAGGATAAAAACTAGAAGGAAGGTATCAGAGAAACCACTTTGTGATGTGGGCAATCATCTCTCATAGACAAAGTTTTCTTTGAATTCAACTGTTTGGAAACACTGTTTTGTAGAATCTGTCAAGTGATATTTAGGAGTGCATTGATGTCTATGGTGAAAAATAAAGTAACTTCAGATAAAACCTAGAAGGAATCTATCTGAGAAACCACTTTGTAATGTGTGCATTCATCTCATAGAGTTAAACTTTCCTTTTTAGCCAGAAGTTTGAAAACACTCTTTTTGTAAAATCTGCAAAGGGATAATTCGGAGTGCATTAAGGTCTTTGGTGAAAAAGAAAATATCTCCAGATTAAAAAAAGAAAGAAGCTTTCTGAGAAAGTGCTTTGTGATGTTTGCATTCGTCTCACAAGGTTAAACTTTTCTTCTGATTCAGGTGTTTGGAAACTCTGTTTTTGTCCATTCTGTGAAAGTACATTTGGGAGCTCATTGAGGCCAAAAGGGAAAAAGCAAATATCCCAGGATAAAAACTAGAAGAAAGCTATCTGAGAAACTGCTTTGTGATGTGAGACTTTGCCTCACAGAGATAAACTTTTCTTTTCATTTAGCAGTTTGGAAACACTTTTTTTAAGAATCTGTGAAGGGAAATTTGGGAGCGTGTTAAGGCTTATGGTGAAAAAGGAAATATCTTTAGATAAAAACTAGAAAGAAGGTTTCTGAGAAGCTGCGTTATGATGTGTGCCTTCATCTCACAGAGCTAAACCTTTCTTTTGATTCTGCATTTTTGAATCACTGTTTTGGTCAATTCTGCAAAAGGACATTTAGGATCTCATTGATGCCAATGGCAAAAAGTGAATATCCCATGATAAAAACTAGAAGTAATCTATCTGAGAAACTGCTTTGTGATGTGTGCATTCATCTAACAGAGTTAACACTTTCTTTTCATACAGCAGTTTGTAAACATTATTTTTGTCCATTCTGTGAATGGACATTTAGGAGCTCAATGAAGACAAGGCAAAAAAGAGAATATCCCAGGACAAAAACTAGAAGGAAGCTATCTGACAAACAACTTTGTGATGCATGCATTCATCTCATAGAGATAAGCCTTTCTTTACATTCAGCAGTTTGGAAACACTGTTTTTGTAGGATCTGTGAAGGGATATTTTGGAGCATATTGAGGCCTATGGTGAAAAAGAAAATATCTTCAGATAAAAAGTAGAAAGAAGCTTTCTGAGAAACAGTCTTGTGATGTGTGTATTCATCTCACCGAGTTAAACATTTATTTTCATTCAGCAGTTTGGAAAAACTGTTTTGTCCATTCTGCAAAAGCACATTTTTGAGCTCATCTAGGCCAATGGTGAAAAAGCGAATATCCCAGGATAAAAACTAGAAGAAAGATATCTGAGAAACCACTTTGTGATGTGTTCACTCATCTCATAGAGTTAAACCTTTCTTTTCATTCAGCAGGTTGGAGACACTGTTTCTATCCATTATGAAAATGGAGATTTGGGAGCTTATTTAGGCCAAAGGCAAAAAGTTGTTATACCAGGATAAAAACTTGAAGCAATTTATCTGAGAAACTGCCTTGTGATGTTTGCATTCATCTCACAGAGTTAAAATTTTTTTTGATTCAGCAGTTTGGAAACACTCTTTTTGTCCATTCTGTGAATGGACATTTGGGAGCTCATTGAGGCCAATGGTGAAAAAGCAAATATCCCAGTATAAAATCTAGAAGGAAGTTATCTGAGAAACTGCCTTGGGATGTGTGCATTCTTTTGGCAGATTTAAATCCTTATTTTGATTCAGCAGTTTGGAAAAACTGCTTTTGTCCTTTCTGTGCATGGACATTTGGGACCTCATTCAGGCCAATGGCAAAAAAGCAAATATCGCAGGACAAAAACTAGAATGAAGCTGTGTGAGAAACCACTTTGTGATGTGTGCATTCACCTCGCAGAGTGAAACCCTCCTTTTCATTCAGAAGTTTGGAAACACTGTTTTTGTAGAATCTCTCAATTGATATTTGTGAGTGCATTGAGGCCTATGATGAAAACAAAATATCTTCAGATAAAAACTAGAAAGAAGATTTCTGAGAAACTACTTTGTGATGTGTTCATTCATCTCATAGAGTTTAACCTTTCTTTTTATTAAGTAGTTTGGAAACATTGTTTTTGTCCATTCTGCGAATGGACATTTGGGAGCTCATCCAAGCCAATTGCAAAAAATCGATTACCCCATGATAAAAACTAGAAGGAATCTACCTGAGATACCACTTTGTGACGTGTGCATTCATCTCACAGAGTTAAACCTCACTTTTCATTCAGCAGATTGGAAATACTGTTTTTCTCCACTCTATGTATGCATATTTTGGAGCTCATTGAGGTCAAATGCAAAATAGTGAGTATACCTGGATAAAAACTGAAAGGAATCTATCTGAGAAATGGCCTTGTGATGTGTGTATTCATCTCACAGAGTTAAAAAAAATTTTTGACTCAACAGTTTGGAAACACTGTTTTTGTCCATTCTGTGTATGCATATTTGGTAGCTCATTGAGGCCAAAGATGAAAAAGAGATCATCTCAGGATAAAAGCTGGAAGAAATTTTCTGAGAAACCACTTTCCAATGTGCATTCATCTCACAGAGTGAAACATTTATATTCATTCAGCAGTTTGGAAAAACTGTTTTGTCCATTCTGCGAATGGACATTTGGGAGCTCATTGAGGCCAATGGTGAAAAAACGAATATCCCAGGATAAAACTAGAAGGAAGCTTTGTGAGAAACCACTTTTGGATGTCTGCATACCTCTCAGAGTGAAACCTTTCTTTTGATTCAGCAGTTTGGAAACATTATTTTTGTTCATTCTGTGAATGGACATTTGGGAGCTCTTTGAAGCCAATGGCAAAAAAGTGAGTATTCTGGGATAAAACTAGAAGGAAGTTATCTGAGAAAAGACTTTTTGATGTGTACATTTATCTCACAGAGTTAAACAGGCTTTTCATTCACAGTTTGAAAACACTGTTTTTGTAGAGTCTGTGAAGAGATATTTGGGAGTGCACTGAGGCCTGTGTTGGAAAAGAAAATGTCTTCAGATAAAAACTAGAAAGAAGCTTTCTTAGAACCTGCTTTGTGATGTGTGCCTTCATCTCACAGAGTTAAAAATTTCATTTGATTCTGAAATTTGGAAACACTGTTTTTGTCCATTCTGTGAATAGACATTTCGTAGCTCATTGAGGCCAATGGCAAAAAAGCAAATATCCTAGGATGAAAACTAGAAGGAAGCTATCTGATAAAGTGATTTGTGATGTGTGCATTCATCTCTCAGAGGTAAACATTTCTTTTCATATAACAGTTTGGAAACACATTTTTGTCCATTCTGCAAATGGACATATGGGGGCTCATTGAGGTCAATTGCAAAAAACGAAAATTCCGGAGGAGCCAAGATGGCCGAATAGGAACAGCTCCCGTCTGCAGCTCCCAGCGTGAGCGACGCAGAAGATGGGTGATTTCTGCATTTCCATCTGAGGTACCGGGTTCATCTCACTAGGGAGTGCCAGACAGTGGGCGCAGGCCAGTGTGTGTGCGCACCGTGCGCGAGCCGAAGCAGGGCGAGGCTTTGCCTCACCTGGGAAGCGCAAGGGGTCAGGGAGTTCCCTTTCCGAGTCAAAGAAAGGGGTGACGGACGCACCTGGAAAATCGGGTCACTCCCACCCGAATATTGCGCTTTTCAGACCGGCTTAAGAAACGGCGCACCACGAGACTATATCCCACACCTGGCTCAGAGGGTCCTACGCCCACGGAATCTCGCTGATTGCTAGCACAGCAGTCTGAGATCAATCTGCAAGGCGGCAACGAGGCTGGGGGAGGGGCGCCTGCCATTGCCCAGGCTTGCTTAGGTAAACAAAGCAGCCAGGAAGCTCGAACTGGGTGGAGCCCACCACAGCTCAAGGAGGCCTGCCTGCCTGCCTCTGTAGGCTCCACCTCTGGGGGCAGGGCACAGACAAACAAAAAGACAGCAGTAACCTCTGCAGACTTAAGTGTCCCTGTCTGACAGCTTTGAAGAGAGCAGTGGTTCTCCCAGCACGCAGCTGGAGATCTGAGAATGGGCAGACTGCCTCCTCAAGTGGGTCCCTGACCCCTGACCCCCGAGCAGCCTAACTGGGAGGCACCCCCCAGCAGGGGCACACTGACACCTCACACGGCAGGGTATTCCAACAGACCTGCAGCTGAGGGTCCTGTCTGTTAGAAGGAAAACTAACAACCAGAAAGGACATCTACACCGAAAACCCATCTGTACATCACCATCATCAAAGACCAAAAGTAGATAAAACCACAAAGATGGGGAAAAAACAGAACAGAAAAACTGGAAACTCTAAAACGCAGAGCGCCTCTCCTCCTCCAAAGGAACGCAGTTCCTCACCAGCAACAGAACGAAGCTGGATGGAGAATGATTTTGACGAGCTGAGAGAAGAAGGCTTCAGACGATCAAATTACTCTGAGCTACGGGAGGACATTCAAACCAAAGGCAAAGAAGTTGAAAACTTTGAAAAAAATTTAGAAGAATGTATAACTAGAATAACCAATACAGAGAAGTGCTTAAAGGAGCTGATGGAGCTGAAAACCAAGGCTCGAGAACTACGTGAAGAATGCAGAAGCCTCAGGAGCCGATGCAATCAACTGGAAGAAAGGGTATCAGCAATGGAAGATGAAATGAATGAAATGAAGCGAGAAGGGAAGTTTAGAGAAAAAAGAATAAAAAGAAATGAGCAAAGTCTCCAAGAAATATGGGACTATGTGAAAAGACCAAATCTACGTCTGATTGGTGTACCTGAAAGTGATGGGGAGAATGGAACCAAGTTGGAAAACACTCTGCAGGATATTATCCAGGAGAACTTCCCCAATCTAGCAAGGCAGGCCAACGTTCAGATTCAGGAAATACAGAGAACGCCACAAAGATACTCCTCGAGAAGAGCAACTCCAAGACACATAATTGTCAGATTCACCAAAGTTGAAATGAAGGAAAAAATGTTAAGGGCAGCCAGAGAGAAAGGTCGGGTTACCCTCAAAGGAAAGCCCATCAGACTAACAGCGGATCTCTCGGCAGAAACCCTACAAGCCAGAAGAGAGTGGGGGCCAATATTCAACATTCTTAAAGAAAAGAATTTTCAACCCAGAATTTCATATCCAGCCAAACTAAGCTTCATAAGTGAAGGAGAAATAAAATACTTTATAGACAAGCAAATGCTGAGAGATTTTGTCACCACCAGGCCTGCCCTAAAAGAGCTCCTGAAGGAAGTGCTAAACATGGAAAGGAACAACCGGTACCAGCCGCTGCAAAATCATGCCAAAATGTAAAGACCATCGAGACTAGGAAGAAACTGCATCAACTAATGAGCAAAATCACCAGCTAACATCATAATGACAGGATCAAATTCACACATAACAATATTAACTTTAAATATAAATGGACTAAATTCTGCAATTAAAAGACACAGACTGGCAAGTTGGATAAAGAGTCAAGACCCATCAGTGTGCTGTATTCAGGAAACCCATCTCACGTGCAGAGACACACATAGGCTCAAAATAAAAGGATGGAGGAAGATCTACCAAGCCAATGGAAAACAAAAAAAGGCAGGGGTTGCAATCCTAGTCTCTGATAAAACAGACTTTAAACCAACAAAGATCAAAAGACACAAAGAAGGGCATTACATAATGGTAAAGGGATCAATTCAACAAGAGGAGCTAACTATCCTAAATATTTATGCACCCAATACAGGAGCACCCAGATTCATAAAGCAAGTCCTGAGTGACCTACAAAGAGACTTAGACTCCCACACATTAATAATGGGAGACTTTAACACCCCACTGTCAACATTAGACAGATCAACGAGACAGAAAGTCAACAAGGATACCCAGGAATTGAACTCAGCTCTGCACCAAACAGACCTAATGGACATCTACAGAACTCTCCACCCCAAATCAACAGAATATACATTTTTTTCAGCACCACACCACACCTATTCCAAAATTGACCACATAGTTGGAAGTAAAGCTCTCCTCAGCAAATGTAAAAGAACAGAAATTATAACAAACTATCTCTCAGACCACAGTGCAATCAAACTAGAACTCAGGATTAAGAATCTCACTCAAAGCCGCTCAACTACATGGAAACTGAACAACCTGCTCCTGAATGACTACTGGGTACATAACGAAATGAAGGCAGAAATAAAGATGTTCTTTGAAACCAACGAGAACAAAGACACCACATACCAGAATCTCTGGGACGCATTCAAAGCAGTGTGTAGAGGGAAATTTATAGCACTAAATGCCTACAAGAGAAAGCAGGAAAGATCCAAAATTGACACCCTAACATCACAATTAAAAGAACTAGAAAAGCAAGAGCAAACACATTCAAAAGCTAGCAGAAGGCAAGAGATAACTAAAATCAGAGCAGAACTGAAGGAAATAGAGACACAAAAAACCCTTCAAACAATCAATGAATCCAGGAGCTGGTTTTTTGAAAGGATCAACAAAATTGATAGACCGCTAGCAAGACTAATAAAGAAAAAAAGAGAGAAGAATCAAATAGACACAATAAAAAATGATAAAGGGGATATCACCACCGATCCCACAGAAATACAAACTACCATCAGAGAATACTACAAACACCTCTACGCAAATAAACTAGAAAATCTAGAAGAAATGGATACATTCCTCGACACATACACTCTCCCAAGACTAAACCAGGAAGAAGTTGAATCTCTGAATAGACCAATAACAGGCTCTGAAATTGTGGCAATAATCAATAGTTTACCAACCAAAAAGAGTCCATGACCAGATGGATTCACAGCCGAATTCTACCAGAGGTACAAGGAGGAACTGGTACCATTCCTTCTGAAACTATTCCAATCAATAGAAAAAGAGGGAATCCTCCCTAACTCATTTTATGAGGCCAGCATCATTCTGATACTAAAGCCGGGCAGAGACACAACCAAAAAAGAGAATTTTAGACCAATATCCTTGATGAACATTGATGCAAAAATCCTCAATAAAATACTGGCAAACCGAATCCAGCAGCACATCAAAAAGCTTATCCACCATGATCAAGTGGGCTTCATCCCTGGGATGCAAGGCTGGTTCAATATACGCAAATCAATAAATGTAATCCAGCATATAAACAGAGCCAAAGACAAAAACCACATGATTATCTCAATAGATGCAGAAAAAGCCTTTGACAAAATTCAACAACCCTTCATGCTAAAAACTCTCAATAAATTAGGTATTGATGGGACGTATTTCAAAATAATAAGAGCTATCTATGACAGACCCACAGCCAATATCATACTGAATGGGCAAAAACTGGAAGCATTCCCTTTGAAAACTGGCACAAGACAGGGATGCCCTCTCTCACCGCTCCTATTCAACATAGTGTTGGAAGTTCTGGCCAGGGCAATCAGGCAGGAGAAGGAAATAAAGGGTATTCAATTAGGAAAAGAGGAAGTCAAATTGTCCCTGTTTGCAGACGACATGATTGTTTATCTAGAAAACCCCATCGTCTCAACCCAAAATCTCCTTAAGCTGATAAGCAATTTCAGCAAAGTCTCAGGATACAAAATCAATGTACAAAAATCACAAGCATTCTTATACACCAACAACAGACAAACAGAGAGCCAAATCATGAGTGAACTCCCATTCACAATTGCTTCAAAGAGAATAAAATACCTAGGAATCCAACTTACAAGGGATGTGAAGGACCTCTTCAAGGAGAACTACAAACCACTGCTCAAGGAAATAAAAGAGGACACAAACAAATGGAAGAACATTCCATGCTCATGGGTAGGAAGAATCAATATCGTGAAAATGGCCATACTGCCCAAGGTAATTTACAGATTCAATGCCATCCCCATCAAGCTATCAATGACTTTCTTCACAGAATTGGAAAAAACTACTTTAAAGTTCATATGGAACCAAAAAAGAGCCCGCATCGCCAAGTCAATCCTAAGCCAAAAGAACAAAGCTGGAGGCATCACACTACCTGACTTCAAACTATACTACAAGGCTACAGTAACCAAAACAGCATGGTACTGGTACCAAAACAGAGATATAGATCAATGGAACAGAACAGAGCCCTGAGAAATAACGCCGCTTACCTACAACTATCTGATCTTTGACAAACCTGAGAAAAACAAGCAATGGGGAAAGGATTCCCTATTTAATAAATGGTGCTGGGAAAACTGGCTAGCTATATGTAGAAAGCTGAAACTGGATCCCTTCCTTACACCTTATACAAAAATCAATTCAAGATGGATTAAAGATTTAAACGTTAGACCTAAAACCATAAAAACCCTAGAAGAAAACCTAGGCATTACCATTCAGGACATAGGCATGGGCAAGGACTTCATGTCCAAAACACCAAAAGCAACGGCAACAAAAGCCAAAATTGACAAATGGGATCTAATTAAACTAAAGAGCTTCTGCACAGCAAAAGAAACTACCATCAGAGTGAACAGGCAACCTACAACATGGGAGAAAATTTTCGCAACCTACTCATCTGACAAAGGGCTAATATCCAGAATCTACAATGAACTCAAACAAATTTACAAGAGAAAAACAAACAACCCCATCAAAAAGTGGGCGAAGGACATGAACAGACACTTCTCAAAAGAAGACATTTATGCAGCCAAAAAACACATGAAGAAATGCTCATCATCACTGGCCATCAGAGAAATGCAAATCAAAACCACTATGAGATATCATCTCACACCAGTTAGAATGGCAATCATTAAAAAGTCAGGAAACAACAGGTGCTGGAGAGGATGTGGAGAAATAGGAACACTTTTACACTGTTGGTGGGACTGTAAACTAGTTCAACCATTGTGGAAGTCAGTGTGGCGATTCCTCAGGGATCTAGAACTAGAAATACCATTTGACCCAGCCATCCCATTACTGGGTATATACCCAAAGGACTATAAATCATGCTTCTATAAAGACACATGCACACGTATGTTTATTGCGGCACTATTCACAATAGCAAAGACTTGGAACCAACCCAAATGTCCAACAATGATAGACTGGATTAAGAAAATGTGGCACATATACCTCATGGAATACTATGCAGCCATAAAAATGATGAGTTCATGTCCTTTGTAGGGACATGGATGAAATTGGAAACCATCATTCTCAGTAAACTATCGCAAGAACAAAAAACCAAACACTGCATATTCTCACTCATAGGTGGGAATTGAACAATGAGATCACTTGGACACAGGAAGGGGAACATCACACTCTGGGGACTGTGGTGGGGTCGGGGGAGGGGGGAGGGATAGCATTGGGAGATATACCTAATGCTAGATGACACGTTAGTGGGTGCAGCGCACCAGCATGGCACATGTATACATATGTAACTAACCTGCACAATGTGCACATGTACCCTAAAACTTAGAGTATAATAAAAAAAAAATTAAAAACAAAAACAAAAACAAAAAAAAAAAACCGAAAATCCCATGATGAAAACTAGAAAGAAGCTACCTGAGAAATCGTTTTGTGATGTGTGCATTAATCACTCATAATTAAACCTTTCTTTTTGTTCCGCAGTTTGGAAACACTGTTTTTGTAGAATCTGTGAAGGGATAATTGGGGAATGTTGTGGCCTATGCTTAAAAAGAAAATATCTTTAGATAAAAAATAGAAAGAAGCTTTCTGAGAAGCTGCGTTGTGATGTGTGCCTTCATCTCACAGAGTTAAATTTTTTTTTGATTCAGCAGTTTGTAAACACTGCTTTTGTCCTTTCTGTGAATGGACATTTGGGAGCTCATCTAGGCCAGTGGTGAGAAAGCGAATATCCCAGGATAAAAACTAGAAGGAAGCTACATGAGAAACAGCTTAGTGATATGTGCATTCATCTCATAGAGTTAAATCTTTCTTTTCATTCAGCTATTTGGAAAGACGGATTTCTCATTTCTGTGAAAGGAGATTTGGGAGCCCGTTGATGCCTAAGATGAAAAAGCTAATATACCAGGATAAAAACTAGAAGGAATTTATCTGAGAAACTGGCTTGTGATATGTGCATTCATCTTGCAGGGTTCATTTTTTTTGATTCAGCACTGTGGAAATGCTGTTTTTGTAGAATCTGAGAAGCAATCTTTTGGATCGGATTGAGGCTAATGATGAAAAAGGAAATATCTTCAGATAAAAATTAGAAAGAATCTTTCTGAGAAACTGCTTTGTGATTTGTGCATGAATCTCACAGGGTTAAACCATTCTTTTGATTCAGCAGTTTGGAAACCCTGTTTTTGTCCATTATATGAATGGACATTTGGGAGATCTTTGTGGCCAATGGTGAAAAAAAGAATATACCAGGATAAGAACTGGAAAGAAGCTATTGGAGAAACCACTTTGTCATATGCACATTCATCTCTCTGAGAAAAATGTTTCTTTTCATTCAGCAGTTTGGAAACACTGTGATTGTCCATTCTGTGAATTGATTTTTGAGCTCATTGAGGCCAATAGTAAAAAAGAGAATATCCAAAAACAAAAACCCAGAAGGAAGCTATGAGAAATTGCTTTGAGATGTCTGCATTCATCTCGTGGAGTTAAACCATTCTTTTCCTTCAGCAGTTTGGAAACACTATTTTTGATGAATCTGTGAAGAGATATTTGGGAGCGCATTGAGACCTATGGTGGAAAGGAAAATATCTTCAGATAAAAACTAGAAAGATTTCTGAGAAAATGCTTTGAGATATGTCCTTTCATCTCACAGAATTAAACCTTTCTTTTGATTTAGCAGTTTGGGAATATTGTTTTTTGTAAATTCTGTGAATGTTCATTTCGGAGCTCATTGAGGTCATTGGCAAAAAATCAAATATCTCAGGATAAGAACTAGAAGGAAGCTATCTGAGAAACAATTTTGTGATGTATACATTCATCTCATAGAGTTAAATCATTCTTTTCATTCAGTAGTGTGGAAAATCTGTTTTTGTAGAATCTATGACGGGATGTTTGGGAGGGCATTGGAGCCTCTGGTGAAAAAGAAAATATCTTCAGTGGTGGGGTCGGGGGAGGGGGGAGGGATAGCATTGGGAGATATACCTAATGCTAGATGACACGTTAGTGGGTGCAGCGCACCAGCATGGCACATGTATACATATGTATCTAACCTGCACAATGTGCACATGTACCCTAAAACTTAGAGTATAATAAAAAAAAAAAACATTAAAAATAGAAAAAAAAAAAGAAAAAAAAGTAGAAAGAAGCTTTGTGAGAAACTGCTTTGTGATGTGTTCCTTCATCTCACACAATTAAACTTTTCTTTTGATTCAACAATTGGGAACACTGTCTTTCTCCATTTTGTGAATGTACATTTGGCAGCTCATTGAGGCCAATGGTGAAAAAGTGAATACCCCAGGGTAAAAACTAGAAGAAAGCCATCTGAGAAAAAGCTTTGTGATGTCTGCCTTCATCTTGTAGAGGTAATCTTTTCTTTTCATTCAGCTGTTTGGAAACACTGTTTTTGTAGAATCTGTGAAGGGGTAATTGGGAGCACATTTGGTCCCATGGTGAAAAAGAAAATATCTTCAAATTTAAACTAGAAAGAAGCCTTCTGAGAAACTGATTTGTTATAAGTTCCTTCATCTCACAGAGTTAAACCTTTCTTTTGATTCAGCAGTTTGGAAACCGTGTTTTTGTCCCTTCTGTGAATGGACATTTGGGAGCTCATTGAGGCCAATGGAGGAAAAGTGAATATCCCAGGATAAAAACCAGAACTAAGCTACTTGAGAAATAGTTTTGTGATATGTGCATTCATTGCACACAGATAAATTTTCCTTTTGATTTGGCAGCTTGTAAATACTATTTTTGCATATTCTGGGAACATATATTTGGGAGCTCATTTAGGCCAATTCTGAAAAAGCAAATATTGCAGGATAAAAACTAGAAGGAAGCGACCTGAGAAACTGCTTTGTGATGTCTGCCTTCTTCTCATAGAGTTAATCCTTTATTTTCATTCATTAGTTTGGAAAAACTGTTTTTATAAAATCTGCTAAGGGGTATTTAGGAGCATAATGGGGCCCATGGTAAAAAAAATTATCTTCAGATTAAAGCTAGAAAGAAGCTTTCAGAAAAAACTGCTTTGTGATGGGTTCCTTCAACTCATAGAGTTAAACCTTTCTTTTGATTCAGCAGTTTGGAAACACTATTTTTGTCTCTTCTGCGAATGCATATTTGGGAGCTCTGAGGCCAATGGCAAAAGAGTGCATATCCCAGGATAAAAACCAGAATGAAGCTATCTGAGAAACCACTTTTTGATGGTCTCATAGAGTTAATGCTTTCTTTTCATTTAGCAGTTTGGAAACACTGTTTTTGTAGAACCTATGAAGGCATATTTGGGAGGGCATTGAGGCCTAAGGTGAAAAACAAAATATCTTCAGAAGAAAACTACAATAAAACTTTCTGAGATACTGCTTTGTGATGTGTGCAATGATCTCACAGAGTTTAAACTTTCTTTTGATTCAGCAGTTTGCAAACACAGAACACTGTTTTTTTTTTTCCATTCAGTGAATGGAGATGTGGGAGATCATTTAGGCCAAAGGTGAAAATTGTATATCCCAGGATAAAAACTAGAAGGAAGCTATCTGAGAAACTGCTTTCTGATGTGTGCATTCATCTCACAGAGGTAAACATTTCTTTTCATTCAGCAGTTCAGAAACACTGTTTTTGTCCATTCTGCAAATGGATTTTGGGAGCTCATTGAGACCAATTACAGAAAAGAGAATATCCAAAAGTAAAAACCCAGAAGGAAGCTATGAGAAACTGCTTTGGGATGTGTGCATTCATATTGCAGAGTTTAAGTATTCTTTTCCATTAGTGGTTTGGAAACACTGTTTGTGAAGAATTTGTGAAGGGATACTTGGGAACACATTGAGGCTTATGGTGAAAAGAAAAATATCCTCAGATAAAAATTAGAAGGAAGATTTCTGAGGAACTGCTTTCTGATATGTAATTTCATCTCACAGAGAAACATTTCTTTTGATTCAGCAGTTTGGAAACACTGTTTTGTAAATTCTGCAAATGGACATTTGGGAGCTCATCAAAGCCAATGGAGAAAAATCGAATATTCCAGGATAAAAACTAAAAGGAATCTATCTGAGAAATCACTTTTTGATGTGTGCATTCATCTCGTAGTGTTAAACCTTTCCTTTCATTCAGCTGTGTGGAAACAGTGTTTTTGTAGAATCTGTGAAGGAATATTTGGAGCACATTGAGGCCAGTGGAGGTAAAGCAAGTATCCCAGGATAAAAACCAGAGTGAAGCCACCTGAGAAACAGCTTTGTGATGAATGCATTCATCACAAAGAGATAAACGTTGCTTTTCATTAAACCATTTGGAAACACTGTTTTTGTCCATTCTGCAAATGGACATTTTCGAGCCCATTCAGGCCAATGGTGAAAAAGCATATATCCCAGGATAAACTAGAAGGATGCTATCTGAGAAACTGCTTTGTGATGTGTGCATTCAGCTCACAGAGTTAAACCTTTGTTTTCATTCAGCCGCTTGGAAACACTGTTTTTGTAGAATCTGTGAAGGGATATTTGGGAGTGCATTGAGGCCTATGGTGAAAAACAAAATATCTTCAGATGAAAATTAGAATGAAGCTTTCTGAGAAACTGCTTTGTGAAGTGTGCATTCATCTCAGAGAGTTAAATTTTTTTTCATTTCAGGAGGTTGGAAACAATATTTTTGTCCATTCTACAAATGGAAATTTAGGAGTTCTTTGAGGTCAGTGGTGAAAAAGCAAATATCTCACGATAAAAACTACAATGAGTCTATCTGAGAAACCACTTTCTGATGTGTGCATTCATATCACAGAGTTAAAAATTACTTTTCATTCAGCTGTTTGGAAACACTGTCATTGTCCATTCTGCCAATGGACATTTGGGAGACCGTTGAGGTTAATAGCAAAAAAGGGAATATCCCAGGATAAAAACAAGAAGGAAGCTATCTGAGAAACCACTTTTTGATGGGTGCATTCATCTTGGAGATGTATAGTGTTCTTTTCATTCAGCAGTTTGAAAACACTGTTTTTGTAGAATCTGTGAAGTGATATAGAGACCACATTGAGGCCTAAGGTGAAACAGAAAATATCTTCAGATAAAAACTAGAAAGTAGCTTTCATTGAAACTGCTTTATGCTGTGTGCATTCATCTCACAGATTTAAAACTTTTTTTTCATTCAGCAGTTTTGAAAAACTGTGTAGAATCTGTGAAGGGATATTTGGGAGATCATCAATGCCTATGGTTAAAAAGAAAATATCTTCACACAGAAACTAGAATGAAGCTTTCTTAGAAAATGCTTTGTGATGTGTGTGTTCATCTCACAGAGTTAAACCTTCCTTTTGATTCAGGAGTTTGGAAAAATTGTTTTTCCCCATTCTTCAAATGGATATTTGGGAGCTCATTGAGACTTCATCCTGTCATAGAGTTAAACTTTGTTTTCATTCAGAAGTATGGAAACAGTGTTTTTTTCCATTCTGCAAATGGACATTTGGCAGCTCATTGAGGCAAATGGCAAAAAAGTGAATAACTTAGGATAAAAGCCAGAAGGAACCTTTCTGAGAAACAGCTTTGTGCTGTTTGCATTCGTCTTACAGAGCTAAATCATTCTTTTGATTCAGTATTTTGGAAACACTGCTTTTGTGCATTCTGTGAATGGTCTTTCAGGAGCTCTTTGTGGCCAATAGTGTAAAAGTGAATATAACAGGAAAAACGTGAAGGAATCTACCTGAGAAACTGCTCTGTGATTTGTGCATTCATCTCACAGTGTTAAAACTTTCTTTTCATTCAGCAGTTTGGAAACAGTGTTTTTGTCCATTTTGTGAATGGACATTTATGAGCTCATTGAGGCCAATTGTCAAAGAGAAAATATCCAAGGATAAAAATGAAAAGAAAGCTATCTGAGAAACCGATTTGTGATAAGTGCATTTGTCTCATGACTTAAACATTTCTTTTCATTCAGCAGTTTGGAAACACGGTTTTGTAGAATCTGCAAAGGGATATTTTGGAGCTCATTGAGGCCTATGGTGAAAAGGAAAATATCTTCAGATAAAAACTAGAAAGAAGCTTTCTGAGAAACTGCTTTGTGATGTGTGCATTCATCTCACAAAGCTAAAACTTTGTTTTGATTCAGCAGTTTAGAAACACTGTTTTGGCCCATTCTGCAAATGGACATTTGGGAGCTCATTGAGGTCAATGGTGAAAAAGATAATATCCCAGGATAAAAACTAGAAGGAAGCTATCTTAGAAACTACTCTGTGATGGGTGCATTGATCCTGCAGTGTTAAACCTTTCTTTTCATTCAGCAGGTTGGAAACGCTGTTTTTATAGAATCTGTGAAGGGATATTTGGGATGACAGTGAGGCCTATGGTGAAAAAGAAAATATCTATAGATAAAATCCAGAAAGAAGCGTTCTAAGAAGCTGCTTTGTGATGTGTGCATAGATCTCACATAGTTAAATCTTTCTTTTGATTCAGCAGTTTGGAAACACTGTTTTTGCCCATTATGAAAATGGACATTTGGGAGCTCATTGAGACCAATAGTGCAAAAGGGAATATCCCAGGATAAAAACTAGAAGAAAGCTATCTGAGAAAACACGTTGTTATCTGTTCATTCATCTCACAGAGTTAAATCTTTCTTTTCTTTCAGCAGTGTTTAAACCTCCTTTTTAGAATCTGAGAAGGGATATTTGGGGGCAAATTGAGGCCTATGGTGAAAAGGAAATATGCTCAGATAAAAACAAGAAAGAAGCTTTCTGAGAAAGTGTTTTGTGATGTGTACATTCGTCTCACTGAGTTAAACCTTCCTTTTGATTTAGCAGTTTGGAAACACTGTTTTGTCCTTTCTGCAAATGGACATTTGTGAGCTCATTGAAGCCTATGGTGAAAAAGTGAATACCCCAGGATAAAAACTGGAAGGAAGCTATCTAAGACTCTGCTCTGTGATGTGTGCATTAATCCTGCAGAGTTAAATCTTTCTTTTCATTCAGCAGATTGGAAATGCTGTTTTTATAGAATCTGCGAAGGGATATTTGGGATCACAGTGAAGCCTATGGTGAAAAAGAAAATAGCTACAGATAAAGAATAGAAAGAAGCGTCCTGAGAAACTGCTTTGTACTGTGTTAATGGATTTCATATAGTTAAATCTTTCTTGTGATTCAGCAGTTTGGAAACACTGTTTTTGCCCATTCTGTGAGTGCACATTTGGGAGCTCATTGAGACCAATGGTGCAAAAGGGAATATCCCAGTGTAAAAACTAGAAGGAAGCTATCTGAGAAACCACGTTGTGTTCTGTTCATTCATCTCACAGAGTTAAATCTTGCATTTCTTTCAGCAGTGTTGAAACACTCTTTTTTAGAATCTGAGAAGGGATATTTGGGGGCACATTGAGGCCTATGGAGAAAAAAAAATGCTCAGATAAAAACCAGAAAGAAGCTTTCTGAGAAAGTGTTTTGTGATGTGTACATTCATCTCACTGAGTTAAACCTTCCTTTTGATTTAGCAGTTTGGAAACACTGTTTTGTCCATTCTGTGAATGGACACTTCTGAGCTCATTGAGGCCTATGATGAAAAAGGGAATACTGCAGGATAAAAACTAGAAGGAAGTATCTGAGACTCTGCTTTGTGATGTGTGCATTGATATCACAGAGTGAAACATAACTTTTCATTCAGCAGTTTAGAAACACTTTTTTTGTAGAATCTCTGAAGTGGTATTCAGGAGCTCATTGAGGACAATGGCGGAAAAGTCAATATCTCAAGATATAAACTGGAGGATAGCTATCTTAGAAACCGGTTTGTGATGTGTGCATTCATCTCACAGAGTTAAAACTTTCTTTTCATTCATCAGTTTGCAAACACTGTTTTTGGATAACCTGGGAAGAGATATTTGGGAGCAAATTGAGGTCTATGCTGAAAAAGAAAATGTCTTCAGATAAAAACCAGAAAGAAGCTTTCTGAGAAACTTCTTTGTGATGTGTGCATTCATCTCACAGAGTTAAACCATTCTTTTGATGCAGCAGTTTGGAAACACTGTTTCTTGCCCATTCTGCGAAAGGACATTATGGAGCTCATTGAGGCCAATGGTGAAAAAGCGAAAATCACAGGAAAAAAACTAGAAGGAAGCTATCTGAGAAACCACTTTAAGAGGTGTGCATTCATCACTAGAATTAAACCCTTCTTTTTCTTCAGCAATTTGGAAACACTGTTTTTTTAGAATAGTAAAGGGATACTTGGGAGCGCATTGATGCCTATATTGACAAAGAAAATAACTTCAGATAAAAACTAGAAAGAATCTTTCTGAGAAACTGCTTTGTGATGTGTGCATTTATCTCACAGAGTTAAACCTTACTCTTGATTCACCAATTTGGAAACCCTGTTTTAGTCCATTCTGTGAATGGACATTTTGGAACTCATTAAGTCCCATGGTGAAAAGGGGTATATCCCAGGATAAAAACTAGAAGGAAGCTATCTGAGAAACTTCTTGTGATGTTTGCCTTCATCCCACAGAATTAAACCTTTCTTTTGATTCAGCAGTTTGGAATCACTGTTTTTGTCCGTTCTGCAAATGGACATTTGGGAGCTCATTGAGGCCAAGGGTGAAAGAGTGAACATCCGAGGATAAAAACCAGAAGGAAGCAATCTGAGAAACCACTTCATGATGAGTGCATTCGTTTCAGAGCATTAAACCTTTCTTTTGATTCAGCAGTTTGGAAAGACTGTGATTGTCTACTCTGAATGGACATTTGGGAGTTCATTGAGGCCAAAGGCAAAAAAGCGACTTTCCCAGGATAATAATGCAAAGGAAGTTATCTGAGATACTGCTTTGTGATATGTGAATTCACCTTGCAGAGTTAAACCTTTCTTTTCATTTAGGAGTTTGGAAAAACTGTTTTTGTCCATTCTGTGAGTGAATATTTGGGAGCTCATTGAGGCCAATGGTGAAAAAGCAAATAATCCAGGATAAAAACTAAAAGAAATTATCTGAAAAACTGCTTTGTGATGTGTGCATTCATCTCACAGAGTTAAACTTTTTTTTTATTCAGCAGTTTGGAAACACTCTTTTTGTAGAATCTGCGAGGGGATATTTGGGAGCCTAATGAGGCCTATGGTGAAAAAGAAAATATCTTCAGATAAAAACGAGAAAGAAGTTTTCTGAGAAACTGCTTGGTGATGTTTGCATTCACTTCACAGAGATAAACATTTCTTTTTATTTAGCAGTTTGAAAACACTGTTTTTGTCCACACTGTGAGTGGACATTTTGGAGCTATTTGAGGCCCAAGGCAAAAAAGTGAATATCCTATTATAAAAACTAGAAGAAACTATCTGAGAAACCATTTTGTGACTTGTGCTTTCATCTCACAGAGTAAAGCCATACTTTTCATTCAGCAGTTTGGAAACACTGTTTTTGAGGAAACTGCAAATGGATATTTGGGTGCACATTGAAGCCTATTGTGAAAAAGAAAATATCTTCACATAAAAAGTAGAAGGAAACTTTCTGAGATACTCCTTTGTGATGTGTGCATTTACCTCACTTAGTTAAAGCATTCCTTTGACTCGGCAGTGTGGAAACACTGATTTTGTCCATTCTGTGAATGGACATTTGGGATCTCACTGAGGCCAAAAGGAAAAACTCGAAAATCCCAAGATAAAAAGTAGAAGGAATCCATCTGTGAAATCGCTTTGTGGTGTGTGCATTTATCCCACAAAGTGAAACATTTCTTGTCATTCAGCAGTTTAGAAACACTTTTTTTGTAGCATCTGCAAAGGGATATTTGGGAGCTCATTGAGGCCTATGGTGAAAAAGGAAATTAGAAAGAAGTTATCTGAGGAAACTCTTTGTGATGTGTGCATTCATCTTGCAGTGTCATATATTTCTTTTCATTTGGCAGTTTGGAAACAGTGTTCTGTCCATTCTGTGAATGGACCTTTGGGAGCTCACTGAGTCCAATGTTGAAAAAGCGAATAACTAAGGATAAAAACTAGAAGTAAGCTGTCCAAGAAACCGCTTTGTGATATGTGCATTCATCTCACAGAGTTAAACTTTTCATTTAGCACTTTGGAAACCGTTTTTTCGTCCATTGTGTGAATGGACATTTGAGAGATGATTGAGGTGAATGGCTAAAAAGCAAATATCCCAGCATAAAAACTAGAAAGAAGCTATCTGAGAAACCGCTTTGTGATGTGTGCATTCAATTGAGGAGTTAAATCTTTATTTTCATGCAGCAGTTGGAAAACATTTTTTGGTAGAATCTGCGAATTGACAATTCACAGCTGACTGAGGCCTATTATGGAAAAGAAAATGTCTTCAGGTAATAACTAGAATGTATCTTTCTGAGAAAGTGCTTTTAGATGTATGCATTCATGTCACAGAGTTAAAATTGTCTTATGATTCAGCACCTTGGAACACTGTTTCAGTCCATTCTGCGAATGGATATTTGGGGGCACTGTGAGGCCAATGGTGATAATGTGAATGTCTCAGGATTAAAACTGAGAGGAAGCTATATGAGAAACCGCTTTCTGATGTGTATATTCATCTTGCAGAATTAAAACTTTCTTTTCTTTTCGTTCAGCAGTTTGGAAACACTGTTGTTGCCCATTCTGTGATTGGACATTTGGGAGCTCATTGAGAGCAATGGAGAAAAAGGGAATATCCCAGGATAAAAACTAGAAGGAAGCTATCTTCCTTCTAGTAGTGTCTGCAGAGGGATATTTGGGAGCATATTGAGGCCTATGGTGAAAAAGTAAATATCTTCAGATAAAAACTAGAAAGAATAATTCTGAGAAACTTCTTTATGATGTGTGCATTCATCTCACTGAGTTAAACCTTTCTTTTGATTCAGCAGTTTGGAATCACTCTTTTTGTCCATTCTGTGAATAAGCATTTGGGAGAAAATTGGGGCCAATGGGGAAAGAGGATGTCCAAGGATAAAAAATAAGAGGAAGCTATCTGAGAAACTGCTTTGTGATGTGTGCATTCAACTCCCTGAGTTAAATCTTTTTTTCATTAGGCAGTTTGGAGCCACCATTTTTGTAGAATCTGTGAATGGATATTTGGGAGCACATTGAGGAGTATGGTGAAAAAGAAAATGTCCTCAGATAAAATATAGAAAAAAGTTTTCTGTGTGACTGCTTTGTGATGTGTGCATTCAGCTCACAGAGTTGAACCTTTCTTTTGATTCAGCATTTTGGAAACGCTGCTTTAGTCCATTCTGCAAATGGATATTACGGAGCTCATTGAAGCCAAAAGTGAGAAACAAAATGTCCCAATATAAAAACTAAGAGAAAGCTGTCTGAGAAACTGCTTTGTGATGTGTACACTCATCTCGAAGAATTGAACTTTTCTTTTCATTCAACCTTTTGGAAACACTGTTTTTGTCCATTCTGCAAATGGACTTTTGGGAGCTCTTTGGGTCCAATGGTGAAAAATCGAATGTCCTATGATAAAAACTATGAAGAACCTATCTGATAAACTGCTTTGTGATGTGTGTATTCATCTGGCTGAGGTAAACCTTTCTTTTTATTCAGCTGTTTGGAAACACTGTATTTGTAGCATCTGCGAAGGGATATTTAGGAGAGCATTGAGGCATGTGGTGAAAAAGAAAATATCTTCAGATAAAAATTATAAAAAGCTTTCTGAGAAACTGCTTTGTGATGTGTGCTTTGTGATGTGTGCATTCATCTCACAGAGTTAAACCTTTCTCAGTAATATGGAAACTCTCTTTTTGTCCATTGTGTGAAAGCACATTTTGGAGTTCTCTGAGGCCAATGACAAAGAAAGGGAATACCCCAGGATAAAAACTAGAAGGAAGGTATCTGAGAAACTGTTTTTTGATGTGTTCATTCAGCTTGAGGAGTTAAATCTTTCTTTTCATTCAGCAGTTTAAAGGCACTGTTTTTGTAGAACCTGTGAGTGGACATTTAGGATCTCACTGAGGCCAATGGTGAAAAACAATATAAATTCAGATAAAAACTAGACAGAAATTTCTGAGAAACTACTTTGTGATGTGGGCATTCATCTCACAGAGATAAACCTTTCATTTGATTCAGCAGTGTGGAAAAAGTTTTTGTCCATTCTGTGAATGGACTTTTTGGAGTTCATTCAACCCAATGGTGAAAAGTGAATATCCCATGATAAAAACTAGAAGGAAGCTATCTGAGAAAGTACTTTCTGATGTGTGCATTCATCTCACAGATTTAAAACTTTCATTTCATTCAGCAGTTTGGAAACACTCTTTTTGCAGAACCTGTAAAAGGATATCTGGGGTTGCTTTGAGGCCTATGGTGATAAGGAAAATATCTTCAGATAAAAACTAGAAAGAATCTCTCTGAGAAACTGCTTTGTGATGAGCACATTCAGCTCACAGTGTTAAACATTTATTTTGATTCAGAAGTTTGGAAACACTCTTTTATCTGTTCAGTGAATGGACATTTGGGAGCTTATTGAGGTCAATGGTGAAAAGGCAAATGTCCCAGGATAAAAACTAAGAGGAAGAAATCTGAGAAACTGCTTTTTGATGTGTGTATTCATCTCGTAGAGGTAAACATCTCTTTTAATTCAGCTGTTTGGAAACACTGTTTCTGTATTATCTTTGAAGTTATATTTTGGAGCACATTGGGGTCTGTGATGAAAAAGAAAATCTCTTCAGCTAAAAATTTGAAAGAAGAAATGTGAGAAACTGCTTCATTATATGTGCATTCATCTCCCTGATTTAAACCTTTTTTTTTCATTCAGCAGTTTGGAAGCACTGTTTTTGAAGAATCTGCAAGGGGATATTTCAGAGTGCATTGAAGCCTATGGTGAAAAACAAAATACCCTCAGATAAAAACTGGAAAAAACTTTCTGAGAAACTGTTTTGTGATATGTGAATTCATCACACATAGTTAAAATTTTCTTTTGATTCAGTGGTTTGGAAACACTTTCTTTTTCCATTCTGTGAGTGGACATTTTGGAGCTCATGGAGACCAATGGAGAAACAACGAATATACCAGGATAAAAACTAGAAGGAAGCTGTCTGAGAAACAGACTTGCAATGTATGCATTCATCTGGCAGAGTTAAAACTTTCTTTTCATTCAGCAGTTTGGAAATACCATTTTTGTCCATTGTTTGAATGGATATTTGGGAGCTCATTGAGTCCAATGGTGAAAAATCGAATGTCCCATTATAGAAACTATGAAGAAGCTTTCTGATAAACTGCTTTGTGATGTCTGCATTCACTGCACCTAGGTAAACCTTTCTTTTTATTCAACACTGTTTTTTTCATTCTGCGAATGGACATCTGGGACCACATTTAGGCTGATGATGAGAAAGAAAATAACTTCAGAAAAAAAATTAGATAGAAGGTTTCTGAGATACTGCTTTGTGATGTGTGCATTCATCTCACAGAGTTAAAACATTCCTTTCATTCAGAAGTTTGGAAAAACTGATTTTGTAGAATCTGTGAAGGGATACTTGGGAATGTAATGAGGCATATGTTGAAAAAATATATTCAGATAAAAACTAAAAAGAAATTTTCCGAGAAACTGCTTTGTGATGTGTGCATTCTTCTCACAGAGTTAAAACATTCTTTTGATTCAGCAGTTAGGAAACACTGCTATTGTCTTTTCTGTGAATGGACATTTGGGAGCTCATTGAGGCTGCAGGTGAAAAAGAATACGCCAGGAAAAAAACTACAATAAGCTGTCTGGGAAGCTGCTTTACAAAGTGTCCATTCATCTCACAAAGTCCTTTAAACCTTTCTTTTCATTCAGCAGTTTGGAAGCACTGTTTTTGTACAAACTACAAAGGGATATTTGCAAGTGCTTTGAGGCCTATGGTGAAAAGGAAAATATCTTTAGATAAAAAATAGAAAGATGGTTTCTGAGAAACTACCTTGTGAAGTATGCATTCATCTGACAGAGTTAAACCTTACTCTTGATTCAGCAGTTTGGAAACACTGTTTTTCCAATCTGTGAATGGACATTTGGGAGCTCATTGAGGCCCATGGCAAAAACGCATATATCCCAAGATAAAAACCAGAGGGAAGCTATGTGAGATAGCAATTTGTTATGTGTGCATTCACCTCACAGATTTAAACATTTCCTTTGAGGCAGCAGTTTGGAATCACTGTGTTTGTCCATGATCCGAATGAATATTTGGGAGCTCATTGAGGCCAATGGTGAAAAAGCGAATGTCCCAGGATAAACAAGAAAAGGAAGCTATCTGAGACACCGCTCTGTGATGTGTGCATTCATCACACAGAGTTAAAACTTTTTTTTCATTCAGCAGTTTGGAAACACTGTTTTGTAGAATCTGTGAAGGAATATTAGCAAGTGCCTTGAGGCCTATGCTGAAAAAGAAAATATCTTCAGATAAAAACTAGACAGAAGATTTTTGATAAACTACTTTGTGATGTGTGCATTCATCTCACAGTGTTAAACCTTTCTTTTCATGCAGCAGTTTGGAATCATTGTGTTTGTCCATACTCTGAATGGATATTTGGGAGCTCATTGAGGCCAATGGTGAAAAAGAAAATATGCCCAGATGAAAACTACAAGGAAGCTATCTGAGAAACCACTTTGTGATGTATGCATTCATCCCATAGAGTTAAACTTTTTTTCATTCAGCTGTTTGGAAATGCTGTTTTTGCAGAATCTGCAAAGCGATACTTGGGAGCACATTGAGGCTGATGGTGAAAAATAAAATATCTTCAGATAAAAACTAGAAAGAAGTTTTCTGAGAAACTGCTTTGTGAAGGGTGCATTCATCTCACAAAGATAAACCTTTCTTTTGATTCCTTGGTTTGGAAACACTGTCCATTCTGTGAATGGACATTTGGAGCTTGTTGAGGCCAGTGGTGAAAAAGGGAATATCCTAGGATAAAAACTAGAAGGAAGCACTCTGACAAACCTCTTAATGATTTGTGTATTCATTTCACAGAGATAAAGTTTCCTTTTATATAGCAGTTTGGAAACTGTTTTTGTCCATTCTGCAAATGAACATTTGAGAGCTCATTGAGGCCAACGGGGAAAAATCAAAAATCCCAGATAAAAATGAGAAGGAATCTATCTGAGAAGCTGCTTTGTGATGTGCGCATTCATCCCACATATTGAAACCTTTCTTTTCTTTCCGCAGTTTGGAAACACTATTTTTGTCCATTCTGTGAATGGACATTTGGGAGCTCATTGAGGCCAAAGGTGAAAAAGTGAATATCCCAGGATGAAAACTAGAAAGAAGCTATATGAGAAATGGCTTTGTGATATGTGCACTCATCCCACAGACTGAAACATTTATTTTCATTCAGCAGTTTGGAATCACTGTTTTTGTAGTCTCTGCGAAGGGATAGGTGGGAGCACATTGAGACCTCTGGTGAAAAAGAAAGTATCATCAGATATAAACTAAAAGGAAACTTCTAGTTTGGCCCCAATGTGCTCCCAAGTACACCTTTGCAGATTCTACCAAAACAGTTTTTCCAAACTGCTGAATGAAAAGTTTAACTCTTTGAGGTGAATGTACACATCACAAGGCAGTTTATGAGATAGATTCCTTCTATTTTTTATTATGGGAGATTCACTTTTTCACCTTGGGGCTCAAAGAGATCTGAAATGTCCATTCTCTGAATAGATAAAAACAGTGTTTCCAAACTGCTGAATCAAAAGAAAGGTTTAACTTTGTGAGATGAATGCTCACATCACAAAGCTGGTTCTCAGAAAACTTTCTTCTAGTTTTTATCCTGGGATATTCACTTTTTCGCCATTGGCTGCAAAGAGTTCCTAAATGTCCATTCTCCAAATAGATAAAAATGGTGTTTCCAAATTGCTGAATCAAAAGAAAGGTTTAACTCTGTTTGTTGAAAGCACACATAACAAAGCAGCTTCTCAGAAAGCTTTTTTCTACTTTTTATCTGAAGATATTTTATTTTTCACCATATGCCTTAATATGCTCCAAAATATCCCCTTGCAGATTCCACAAAAACAGTGTTTCCATATTGCTGAAAGAAAATAAGGTTTAACTCTGTGTGATGTATGCACATAACCAAAGCAGTTTCTCATATAATTTCCTTCCAGTTTTATCAGGGAACATTTGCTACTTAACCTTTGGCCTCCATGAGCTCCCAAATGTCCATTCACAGAATGGACAAAAACAGTATTTCCAAACTACTCTATTGAAAGAGAGGTTTAGCTGTGAGAGGAATGTACACCTGTCAAAGCAGTTTCTCGGAAAGCTTCTTTCTAGTTTTTGTCTGTATTTTCTTTTTCACCATGGTCTCAAAATGCTCCCAAATATGCCTTCGCATATTCTACAAAATCATTGTTTCCAAACTGCTTAATGAAAAAAAGGTTTAACTTTGCGAGGTGAATGCATATGTAACAAAGCATTTTCTCAGATAGTTTCCTTCTAGTTTTTGTGTCTGGATATTTGCTTTTTCTCCAGTGGCCTCTATGATCTCCCAAATGTCCACTCACAGAAAAGACAAACTGGTGTTTCCAAACTGCTGCATCAATGGAAAGTTTATCTCTGTGAGATGAATGCACACATCAAAAAGCAGTTTCTCAGAAAGCTTCCTTTTACTTTTTATCTGAAGATATTTTCTTTTTCACCATTGGCCTCAATGCACTCCAAAATATCCCTTTGCTGATTTGACAAAAACAGCATTTCCAAACTACTGAATGAAAATAAAGGTTTAACACTGCAAAATGAATTCACACTTCATAATGCCATTTCTCAGATAATTTATTTCTAGTTTTTTTCCTCGGATGTTTGCTTTTTTGCCTTAGCTCTCAATGCCCTCCCAAATATCTCTTTGCAGATTCTACAAAAACAATGTTTCCAAACTGCTGAATGAAAACAAAGGTTTAACTCTGTGAGGTGAATGCACATCACAAAGTGGATTCTCAGACAGCTTCCTTCCTGTTTTTTTTCTTGGATACTCCTTTTTTGCCATTGGCCTCAGTGAGCTCCTAAATGTCCATTCACAGAATGTACAAAAACAGTGTTTCCAAACTACTTAATGAAAAGAAGGGTTTAACTCTGTGAGAAAATGCACATGTCACAAAGCGGTTTCTCAGTAACATACTTTCTAGTTAGTATCTGAAAAATTTTTTTCAACATAGGCCTATATGTGATCGAAAATGTCCCTTCACAGATCCTAGAAAACAGTGTTTCCAAAATGATGAATGAAAAGAAAGGTTTAACTCTGTGAGATGAATGCCCACATCACAAAGCAGTTTCTCAGATAGCTTCCTTCCAGTTTTTATCTTGGGATATTTGCTTTTTCTCCATTGGCCACAATGAGCTCCCAAATGTCCACCCTTACAATAGACAAAAACAGTGTTTCCAAACAGGTGAGTCAAGAGGAGGGTTTAATTCTGTGAAATAAAAGCACACATCACAAAGTAGTTTCTCAGAAAGGTTCTTTATAATTTATATCTGAAGACATTTTCATTTTCACCATAGGCCTCTATGTGCTCCCAAATATACCTTTGCAGTTTCTACACAAACATTGTTTAGCAACTGCTGAGTGAAAATAAACGTTTAACTCTATGAGGTGAATGTACACATCATGAAGCAGTTTCTCAGATAGCTTCCTTATAGTTTTTGTCCTGTGATATTCAGTTTTATGGCATTGGCCTCAAGGAGCTCACAAGTGTCCATTCGCATAAGGGCAAAAACCGTGTTTCCAAACTGCTGAATCAAAAGAAAGGTTTATCTGTTTGAGATGAGAGCACACCTCATGAAGCAGTTTCTCAGAAAGCTTCTTTCTTGTTTTTATCTGAAGATATTTCCTTTTTCACCATAGGCCTCAATGCGCCCCCAAATATCCCTTCACAGATTCTACAAAATCAGTTTTTCAGAACTGCTGAATGAAAAGTATGTTATAACTCTGAGAGTTGAATGAACACCAAACCAGGTGGTTTTTCAGATAACTTCCTTCTAGTTTTTATTCTGAGATATTCACTTTTTCACCATTGGCCTCAACTAGTTTCAAAATGTCCATTCAGAGAATGGACAAAAACTGTGTTTCCAAACAATTGAATCAAAAGAAAGGTTTAACTCTGTGAGATGAATGCACACATCACAAAGATATTTTCCAGATAGCTTCCTTCTAGTTTTTATCCTTCAATATTGGCTTTCTTGCCTTTGCCCTCATCAAGCTCCCAAATGTCCATTTGTAGAATGGACAAAAACGGTGTTTCCAAATTGCTGAATCAAAAGAAAGGTTTAACTCTGTGAGAGGAATGTACACATGACAAAGCATTTTCTCAGAAAGCTTCTTTCTAGTTTTTATCTCAACATATTTTCTTTTTCAACATAGTCCTCAACGCACTCCCAAATATACCTTGGCAGATTCAAACAAAAAATTTTTCCAAACTGCTGAATGAAAAGAAGAATTTAACTCTGTGATATGAATGCACACATCATAAAGTGGTTTCTCAGATACCTTCCTTCTAGTTTTTATCCTGGGATATTCACTTTTTCACCATTGGCCTCAAAGAGCTCCCAAATGTCCACTCACATAATGGACAAAAACAGTGTTTCCAAACTGCTGAATCAAAAGAAAAGTTTAACTCTGAGAGATGAATGCACACATCACAAAGCAGTTTCTCAGCTTCTTTCAAGTTTTAATCTGAATATATTTTCTTTTTCACCATAGACCTCAATGCACTACCTAATATTACTTGGCAGATTCCAGAAAAACAGTTTCCAAACTGACAAATGAAAAGAAAGGTTTTACTCTATGAGATAAAAGCAGACAACACAGAGCTGTTTCTCAGATAGCTTCCTCCTAATTTTTATCCTGTTATGTTCACTTTTTCACCTTTGGCCTCAAAGACCTCCCAAATGTCTGTAGTCAGAATGGACAACAACAGTGTTTACAAACTGCTGAAGGTAAAGAAAGGTATAACTCTGTGAGATGAATGCACATATAACAATGCAATTTCTCAGAAACCATCTTTCTAGTTTTTATTTGAAGATATTTTCTTTTTCACCCTAAGCCTCAATGAACTCCCTAATATTCCTCAGCAGTTTCCACAAAATCAGTGTTTCCAAACTGATGAATGAAAAGAAAGGATTAATTCTGTGAGATAAATGCAGACATCACATAACGGTTTCACAATAACTTCCTAGTAGGTTTTATCCTCAGATATTCACTTTTTCACCTTTGGACTCAACGAGCTCCTAAATGTCCATTCACAGAATGCACAAAAAAGGGTCTCCAAACTGCTGAATCAAGAGTAAGTTTTCACTCAGTGAGATGAATGCACACATCGCAAAGAAGTTTCTCAGAAAGCTTCTTTTCGTTTTTATCTGAATATATTTTCTTTTTCACCCTAGGCCTCAACGTACTCCCTAATATTACTTGGCAGATTCAACAAAAACAGTGTTTCCAAACTTCTGAATGAAAAGAAAGATTTAACTCTGAGAGACAAATGCTGACTTCACAAAGGGGTTTCTCAGATAATATCCTTCCACTTTTTTTCCTGGGGTATACAGTTTTTCACAAATGGCATCAGTGAGTTCCCTAATGTCCATTCCCAGAATGTACAAAAACAGTGTTTCCAAACTGATAAATCAAAGGAAAAAGGTTTAACCCTGTGAGAGGAATGCACACCTCTTTAAGCAGTTTCTCAGGAAACTTCTTTCTAATTTTTATCTGAAGACATTTCCTTTTTCACCACAGGCCTCAATGCACTCGCAAATATCCCTTCACAGATTCTACAAAAACTGCTGACTGAAAAGGAAAGTTTACCTCTGCCAGGTGAATGCACACATCAAAAAGCGGTTTCTCAGACAGCTTCATTCTTTTTTTTATCCTGGTATATTCGCTTTTTTGCCATTGGCCCCAATGAGCTCCAAAATGTCCTTTCACAGGAAGAACAAAAGCAGTGTTTCCAAACTGCTGAATAAAAGAAGGGTTTAAATCAGTGAGATGAATGCACACATCACAAAGCAGTTTCTCAGATAGCTTCCTTCTAGTTTTTATGCTGGGATATTTTATTTTTCACCATTGGCCTCAATGAGCTCAAAAATGGCTATTTCCAGAATGGACAAACACAGTGTTTCCAAAATCCAGAATCAAAAGAAAGGTTTAACTCTGTGAGATGAATGCACACGTCACAAAGCAGCTTCTCCAAAAGCTTCTTTCTAGCTTTTATCTGAAGATATTTTCTTTCTCACCATAGGCCTCAATGCACTCCCAAATATCCCTTTGCAGATTCTACAAGAAAACTGTTTCTATACTGCTGAATGAAAAAGAAGGGTTTAACTCTGTGAGATGAATGCACACATCACAAAGCGGTTTCTCAGATACCTTGTTTCTTGTATTTAACCTGGGATAATTGCTTTTTTGCCATTGACCACAATGAGCTCCCAAATGTCCATTTGCAAAATGGACAAAAACAGTTTTAAACCCCTGAATGAAAGGAAAGTTTTAACTCTGACAGATGAATGCACACATAGCAAAGCGGTTTTGCAGATAGCTTCCTTCTAGTATTTATCCTGGGATATTATTTTTTTTGCCATTGCCCTTAATGAGCTCTCCAATGTCCATTCGCAGAATGGACAGAAACAGTGCTCCCAAACTGCTGAATCTAAATAAAATTTTAACTTTTCTAGATGAATGCACACATCACAAAGCAGTTTCTCAGAAAGATTCTTTCTAGTTTTTATCTAAAGATATTTTCTTTTTCACAGTAGATCTCAATGCACTTCCAAATAGCCCTTCACAGAATCTACAAAATCAGTGTTTCCAAACTGCTGAATGAAAAGAAATGTTTAAATTTGTGTGACAAATGCACACATCACAAAACTATTTCTCAGATAGTTTCATTCTAATTTTTACACTGGGATATTCTCTTTTTCGCCATTGGCCTCAATGAGCTCCAACATGTTCATTTGCAGAATGGACAAAAACAGTGTTTCCAAACTGCTGAATCAAAAAAAAGGTTTCAGTCTGCGAGATGAATACACACATCACAAAGCAGTTTCTCAAAAAGTTTCTTTCTAGTTTTAATCTGAAGATACTTACTTTTACCCCTTAGGCCTCAATGTACTCTCAAATATCAATTTGCAGATTCTACAAAAACAGTGTTTCCAAACTGCTGTATGAAAATAAAGGTTTCAATCTGTGAGTTGAATGCACACATCACAAAGTGGTTTCTCAGATAGCTTCCTTCTAGTTTTCATCCTTGGATATTTGCTTTTTTGCCATTGGTCTCAATGATCTCCCAAATGTCTATTCGCAGAATGCAGATAAACAGTGTTTTGAAAGTGCTAAATCAAAAGTAAGGTTTAACTCTGTGAGGTGAATGCACACATCACAAAGCAGTTTCTCAGAGAGCTTCTTTCTACTTTTTATCTGAAGATATTTTCTTTTTCACATAGGCCTCAATGCGCTCCCAAATATCCCTTCACACATTCTACAACAAAAGTGTTTCCAAACTGCTGTATTACAAGAAAGGTATAACACTGTGAGGTGAATGGACACATCACAAAGCAGTTTTTCAGTTGGTTTCTTTCTAGTATTTATCCTGGGTTATTCGCCTTTTTGTCATTGTCCTTGAAAAGTTCCCAAATGTCCTTTCTCTGAATAGGCCAAAGAATATTTCCAAACTGCTGAATCAAAACAAAGCTTAAACTCTGTGAGGTGAATGCACACATCACAAACCGGTTTCTCAGATAGCTTTCTCCTACTTTTTATCCTGGGATATTCACTTTTTCTTCATTGGCTTCAATGAGCTCCAAAATGTCTGTTTGAAGAATGAACTAAAACAGTGTATCCAAACTCTGAATGAAAAGGAAGATTTATCTCTATGAGATGAATGCACACATCCCAAAGTGGTTTCTCACATAGCTTCTTTATAGATTTTATCCTGGGATATTCTCTTTTTTGCCATTGGCCTCAATGAGCTCTCAAATGTCCATTCACAGAATGGACAAAAACAGTGTTTCTCAACTGCTGAATGAAAAGGAAGTTTTAAATCTGTGAGGTGAATGCACACTTCACAAAACAGTTTCTCAGACAGCTTCCTTCCAGTTTTCATCCTGTTACTTTCTCTTTTTCACCCTTGGCCTCAATGAGCTAAAATCATCCACACATAGAATGGATAAAAACAGTGTTTTCAAACTGCTGAATCAAAAGAAAAGTTTAACTCTGTGAGATGAATGCACAATTCAAAAAGCTGTTTCTCCGATAGCTTCCTTCTAGTGAATATCCTGTAATGTTCACTTTTTTTGTCATTTGCCTCTATGCACTCCAATATATCCTTTCACAGATTCTCCAAAAACAGTGTTTCCAAACTGCTGAATGAAAAGAGTTTTAACTCTGTGAAATGAATGTGCACATCATAAAGCAGTTCCTCAGATAGCTTCTTTCTACTTTTCATCCTGGGATACTTGCTTTTTCACCGTTGGCCTCAATGATCTCCCAAATCTCCATTCACAGAATAGACAGAAATAGTGTTTCAAAACGGCTAAATCAAAATAAACGTTTAACTCTGAGAGAAGAATGCACACATCATGAAGCGGTTTCTCATATAAGTTCCTTCCAGTTTTTATCCTGAAATATTCACTGTTTCACCATTGGCCTCAATGAGCTCTCAAATGTCCACTTACAGAATGGACAAAAACAGTGTCTCTGAACTGCTGAATCAAAAGAAATGCTTTTCTCTGCAACATGAATACGAGCATCACAAAGTAGTTTGGCAGATGGCTTCCTTCTAGTTTTTATCTTGGGATATTTACTTTTTCGGTATTTGCCTCAATTAGCTTTCTAATATCCTTTCTCCGAATGGACAAAAATAGTGTTTCCAAACTACTGAATCAAAAGAAAGGTTTAATTGTGTGAGATGAATGGACACATCATAAAGTGGTTTTTCATATAGATTCCTTCTAGTTTTTATCCTGGGACATTGGCTTTTTCCCCATTGGCCTCAATGAGCTCCCACATGTCCATTCATAGAATGGACAAAATAGTGTTTCCAAACTGCTGAATCAAAAGAAAGGTTTAACTCTGTGAGATGAATACACACAACATGAAGCATTTTCTCAGATAGTTTCCTTCCTGTTTTTATCCAGGAATATTCACTATTTCACTAGTGGCCTCAATGAACTCCCAAATGTCCATCCACAGAATGGACAAAAAAAGGGTTTCTGAACTGTTGAATCAAAAGAAAGGTTTTACTCTGCAAGATGAATGCGAATATCACAAGGTGGTTTGGCAGATAGCTTTCTTCTAGTTTTTATCTTGTGATATTCACTTTTTCACTTTTGGCCTCAATGAGCTCTCAAAAATCCATTCTCCAAGTGGACAAAAACAGTGTTTCCAAAATGCTAAAACAAAAGAAAGGTTTAACTGTGTGAGATGAATGGACACATAAAAAACCGGTTTTTCAGATAGCTTTCCTCTAGTTTTTATCCTGGGATATTGGCGTTTTCACCATTGGCCTCAATGAGCTCCCACATATCCATTCGCAGAATGGACAAAAACAGTGTTTCCAAACTGGTGAATCAAAAGAAAGGCTTAACTCTGTGATATGAATGCACACATCACAAAGCAACTTCTCAGGAACCTTCTTTATAGTTTATATCTGAAGATATTTTCTTTTTCACCATAGGCCTTTTTACACTTCCAAATATCCCTTGACAGATTCTACAACAACAGTGTTTCTGGACTGCACAATGTAAAGAAAGGTTTAAGTCTGTGAGATGAATGTGCACATCACAATGTAGTTTCTCAGATAGTTTCATGCTGGTATTTATCCTGCAATATACACTTTTCCCCCATTGGCCTCAATGAGCTCAAAAATGTCCATTTGCTGAATTGAAAAAAACAGTGTATCCAAACAACTGAATCAAAAGAAAGTTTTATTTCTGTAAGATGAATGCACACATCACAAAACAGCTTCACAGAAAGCTTCTTTCTAGCTTTTATCAGAAGATATTTTATTTTTCACCTTATGCCTCAATGTGTTCCCAAATATTTCTTCTCAGATTCGACAAAAACAGTCTTTCCAAACTGCTTAAAGAAAATAAAGCTTTAACTCTGCCAGATGAACGCACACTTTGTAAAGCGGTTTGTCAGATAGCTTAATTGTAGTTTTTTCCTGGGATATTCCCTTTTTACTGTTGGAGTCAGTGAGCACCAAAATGTCCATTCACAGAATGGACAAAAGCAGTGTTTCCAAATTGCTGAATCAAAACAAAGTTTAACTCTGTGAGATAAATGCCCACTTCACAAAGAAGTTTTTAAGAAAGCTCCTTTCTAGTTTTTATCTGAAGATATTTTCTTTTTCACCATAGCCTAAAAGCACTCCCAAATATCCCTTCACAGATTCTACAAAAACAGTTTTTCCAAAGGGCTGAATGAAATAAAAGGTTTCAGTCTGCGAGATGAATACACACATCACAAAGCGTTTTCTCAGATAGGTTCCTTCCAGTTTTTAATCCTGGGATTTTCACTTTTCACTATTGGCTTCAATCAGTTCCCAAATATCCATTCACAGAATGGACAGAAACAGTGCTTACAAACTGCTGAATCAAAAGAAATGTTTAAATCCATGAAATGAATACACACTTCACAAACAGTTTCTCAGATAGCTTCCTTCTATTTTGTACTGAGTGTATTCATTTTGTTGAGTTTAACCTCAATGAGCTCCCAAAAGTCCATTGGTCAAATTGACAAAAACAGTGTTTCCAAACTGCTGATTCAAAAAAATAGTTTAAGTCTGTGAGATGAATGCACACATCAAACAGCAGTTTCTCAGATAGCTTACTTCTAGTTTTTATCCTGGGGTATTCCCTTATTCACCATTGGCCTCAATGAACTCCCAAATGTCCATTCTCAGAACGGACAAAAACAGTGCTTCCAAAGTACTGAATCAAAAGAAAGTTTTAAAACTGTGAGATGAATATGTACAACACTTAGCAGTTTCTCAGAAAGCTTCTTTCTAGTTTTTATCCTAAAATATTTTCTTTATCACCATAGGCCTCAATGCACTCCAATATATGCTGAAGGAAAAGAAACGTTTAACTCTGTGAGATAAATACAGATATCACAGAGTGGTTTCTCAGATAATTTCTTTCTAGTTTTCATCTGGGGTTATTTCTTTTGTGCCATTTTCCTCAATGAGCTTCCAAATGTCATTTCACAGAATGGACAAAAAGAGTGTATCCAAACTGCTCAATCAAAAGAAAGATTTGGAAAAACTGTTTTTGTACAATCTGCAAAGGGATATTTGGGAGCACATTGAGTACTATGGTGAAAAATAAAATACCTTCAGATAACAACTAGAAAGAAGCTTTCTGAGAAAGTCCTTTGTGATGTGTGCCTTCATGTCACAGAAATAAACCTTTCTATTGATTCAGAAGTTTGGAAACACACTTATTGTCCATTCTGTGAATGGACATTTGGGAGCACATTGAGGCCAATGGTGAAAAAGTGAATTTCCCATGATAAAATCTAGAAGGAACTATCTGAGAATCTGCTTTGTGATGTGTGCATTTATCTCACATAGTTAAACTTTTAATTTCATTCAGCAGTTGGGAAACTCTGTTTTTGTAGAATCTGCAAACAGATATTTGGGAGTGCATTGGGGCCTATGGGGTGAAAGAAAATGTCTGTAGATAAAAACCAGTAAGAAGATTTCTGAGAAACACCTTTGTACTGTGCCCATTCATCTCACAGAGTTAAACCATTTTTATTAATTCTGGAGTTTGGAAAGACTATTTTTGTCCATTCTGCGAATGGACATTTGGGAGCTCATTGAGGTCTATGACAGAAAAGGGAATATCCCGGGATAAAAAATAGAAAAAGTTGTCTGAGAAACCACTTTGTGATGTGTGCTTTAATCTCACAGAATTAAGCCTTTCTTTTGATTCAGCAGTTTGGAAACAATGTTTTTGTCCATTCTGTGAATGGACATTTGGTAGCTTATTGAGGCCAATGGCAAAAAGGCAAATATTCCAGGATATTCGCTAGAAGGAAGATATCTCAGAAACCACTTTTTGATGTGTGCATTCATCTTGCAGAGTTAAACCTTTCTTTTGATTCAGCAGTTTGAGAACACTGTTTTTATCAATTCTGTGAACTGATGTTTTTAGCTCATTGAGGCCAAGGGCAAAAAACAGAATATAACAGGATATAAAGTGGAAGGAATCTATCTGAGAAACCACTTGGTGATGTGTGCATTTATCTCGCAGAGTTAAACTTTTCTATTCTTTCAACAGTTTGGAAACACTGTTTTTGTAGAATCTGAAAAACGAAATTTGGGAGCACACTGAGGACTATAGCAAAAAAGAAAATATCTTCACATAAAAACTAGAAAGAAGCATTCTGAAAACTGCTTTGTGATGTGTGCATTTATCTCACAGAGTTAAAACTGTGCTTAGATTCAGCAGTTTTTAAACAATGTTTTGGTAGAATCTGTGAGGGAATGTTTTGCTGAGAATTGAGGACTTTTATGAAAAAGATAATATCTTCAGATAAACACTATAAAGAAGCTTTCTGAGAAACTGCTTTGTGATGTGTGCATTCATCTCACAGAGCTAAACCTTTCTTTTCATTCAGCAGTTGGAAAACTCTGTTTTTGTAGAATATGCAAAGAGATATTTGGGAGTGTTTTTAGCCCTATGGCGAAAAAGGAAATATCTTCAGATAAAAACTAGAAAGAAGCATTTGAGAAACTGCTTAGTGATATGTCCACTCATCTCACAGAGTTAAAGGTTTCTTATTTTTTTTTTCAGGAGTTTGGAAACACTGTTTTTGTCCATTCTTCAGATGGACATTTGGTAGCTCATTGATGCCTGGCAAAAAACAAAATATCCCAGGATAAAAACTAGAAGGAAGCTATATGAGAAGCCATTATGGGATGTGTGCATTCACCTTCGAGAGTTAAACCTTTCTTTTCATTCAGCAGTTTGGAAACCCTGTTTCTGTAGAATCTACAAAGGGATGTTGGGAGCACATTGAGGGTTATGGTAAAAAACAAAATATCTTCAGATTAAAACTAGAAAGAAGCTTTCTGATAAGCTATTTTCTGATGTGTGCATTCATCTCACAGAGTTAAAACTTTCTATTGATTCAGCAGTTTGGAAGCACTGTTTTCGACCATTCTGCAAGTGGACGATTGGGAGCTTACTTAGACCAATGGTGAAATAGTGAATATTACAGAATAAAACCTGGAAGTAAGCTCTCTGAGAACCTGCTTCATGTTGTGTGCATTCATCTCACAAAGTTAAATATTTCTTTTCATTCAGCAGATAGGAAACACTGTTTTTGTAGTACCTGTGAAGGGATATTTGGGATCACAGTGAGGCCTATGGTGAAAAAGAAAATATCTTCAGATAAAACCCAGAAGGAAGCTTTCTGAGAAACTGTTGTCTGTTGTGTGTATTCATCTCAGAGATTTAAAACTTTCCTTTGATTCAGCAGTTTGGAAACCCTGTTTTTGTCCATTCTGTGAATGTACTTTTTGGAGCTCATTGAAACCAATGGCTAAAAAGCTAAAGTCCCCAGATAAAAACTACAAAATAGCTATCTGAGAAACTGTTCTCTAATGAGTGCATTCATCTCAGGGTGTTAAACCATTTTTTTGATTCAGCAGTTTGGAAACACTGTTTTTGTCCATTCTGTGAACACACATTTTGGATCTCATTGAAGCCAATGGCAAAATAGCAAAAATTCCAGGAGAAAAACTGGAAAGAAACAATCTGAGAAACTGCTTTGTGATGTGAGCATTCATGTCACAGTGTTAAACCTTTCTTTAGATTCAGCAGTCTGGAAACACTGTTTTTCTCCATTGTGCATATGGACATTTGGGAAATCTTACAGGCTAATGGCAAAAAAGCCAATATCCCAGGATAAAAAGTAGAAGAAAGCCATCTGAGAGACCACGATGTGATGTGTGCATTCATCTCACAGAGTTAAATTTTACTTTTCATTCAGCAGGTTGGAAACACTGTTTTTGTCGAATCTGAGAAAGGATATTTGGGAGAACACTCAGGCCTATTTTGAAAAAGAAAATGTCCAGATAAAAACCAGAAAGAAGCTTTCTGAGAAACTGCCTTTTGATGTGTGCATTCAAGTCACAGAGTTAAACATTCCTTTTGATTCAGCAGTTTGGAAAAACTGTTTTTGTCCATTCTGTGAATGGAAAATTGGGAACTCATTGAAGCCAATGGCCAAAAAAAAAAAAAATCTCCCAGGATAAAAAATAGAAGGAAGCTAGCTGAGAATCCATTTTGTCATTTGTGGATTCACCTCACAGAGTTAAACCTTTCAATTCTTTCAGCAGTTTGGAAACACTGTTTTTAAAGATATTTTAAAGTGGATATTTGGGAGCTCATTGATTCCAATGGCAAAAAAGCGAATATCCCAGGGTATCCTTTCTATCTAGTTTTTATCAGAGGATATTCACTTTTTTGCCATTGGCTTCATTGAACTCACAAATAGCCATTTGCAGAATGGACAAAAACAGTGTTTCCAACTTGTTGAATCAAAAAAATTATTAACTCTGGACATGAATGTATACATAACAAAACAGTTGTTTTAAACACTTCTTTCTAGTTTTCATGTGAACATATTTTCTTTTTCACTGTTGGCCTCAATGTGCTCCCAAATATTCCTTCTTAGATTCTACAAAAACAGTGTTTCCACACTGCTGAATCAAAAGAAAAGTTTAAGTCTGCAAGATGAATGCACACATCACAAAGCGTTTCTCAGATAAATTCATTCTTGTTTTATTCCTGGGATATTTGTTTTTTCCCCATTGGCCTCAAAGAGCTCCCTAATATCCATTTGCAGAGTGGACAAAAACGGGTTTCCAAACTGCTGAATCAAAAGCATGTTTTAACTCTGAACATGAATGTACACATCATGAAGCAGTTTCTTTGAATTCTTCTTTCTAACGGTTATCTGAAGATATTTTCTTTTTCACCATAGACCTCAATGTGCTCTCAAATATCTCTTCTCAGAGTCTACAATAACTTTGTATCCAAACAGCTGCATGAGAAGAAAGGTTTAACTCTGCCAGGTGAATGCACACATCACAGGGCGGTTTCTCAGATAGCTCTCTTCTAGAGATATTCACTTTTTCACCACTGGCCTCAATGAGCTCCCAAATGTGTATTTACAGAATGGACAAAAACGGTGATTACAAACTGCTAAATCAAAACGAAGATTTAACACTGTGAGATGAATGCACACATCACAAAGTAGTTTCTCAGATAGATTCCTTCTAGTTTTTATCCTGGGATATATGCCTTTTCACCTAGTGTCTCATTAAGCTCCCAAATCTCCATTTGCAGAATGGACAAAAACAATGTTTCCAAACTGTTGATTCAAAACAATTGTTTAATTCTGTTAGATGAATGCACACATCACAAAGAAATTTCACAGAAAGCTTCATTCTAGTTTTTTCTGAAGACATTTTCTTTTTTAACATAAGCCTCAATGAGCTCTCAAATATCCCCTTGCAGTTTCTCCAAAAACAGTGTTTCAAAACTGCTGAATCAAAAGAAAGTTTTAACTTTGTGACATGAATGCACAAAGCACAAAGCAGTTTCTCAGAATGCTTCTTTCTATTTTTTATGTGAAAATATTTTCTGTTTCACCATAAGCCTCAATGCACTCCCAAATATCCCTTTGCAGATTCTACATTAACAGTTTTTCAAAACTGCTGAATGAAAAGAAAGGTTTAACTCTGTGAGAGTAATGCTCACAACACAATGCGTTTTCTCAGAAAGCTTCCTTCTGGTTTTTATTCTAGGATATTTCCTTTTGCCATTGGCCTGAGAGAGAGATATATGCATGTCACACAAAGTGGTTTCTCAGAGAGCTTCCCTCTAGTTTTTATCCTGGGATATTCACTTTTTCACCATTGGCCTCAATGAGCTCCCAGGAATATCCCAGGAATGTCCCAGGATAAAAACTAGAAGGAAGCTATCAGAGAAACAGCTTTGTGATGTGTGTATTCACCTCACAGAGTTAAAACTTTCTTTTCATTCAGCAGTTTGGAAACACTGCTTATGGAGAATCTGAGAGGGGAAATTTGGGAGCCCATTGACACCTCTGGTGAAAAAGAAATTATCTTCAGATAAAAACGAGAAAGAAGCTTCCTGAAAAACTGCTTTGTGTTGTGTGGATTCATCTCACAGTGTTAAACCTTTCTTTTGACTGGGCAATCTAGAAAAACTGTTTTTGTCCATTCTGTGAGCAGACATTTGGGAGCTCATTGAGGCCAATGGTGAAAAAATGAATATCCTGGGAGAAAAACTGGAAGGAAGCTATCTGAGAAAGTGCTTTGTGATGTGTGCATTCATCTCACAGAGTTAAACTTTTCTTTTGACTCAGCAGTTTGGAAACGCTGTGTTTGTTCATTCTGTGAATGGATATTTAGGAGCTCATTGAGGCCACTGGCAAAAAAGGGAATATACCAGGATAAAAACTAGAATGAGGCTATCTGATAAACCACTTTGTAATGTGTGCATTCAACACAGAGAGTTAAACCTTTCTTTTCATTCAGCAGTGTGGAAACCCTGTTTTTGTAGAACCTGCGAATGGATATTTGGGAGCCCATTGAGGCCTATGGTGAACAAGAAAAAATCTTCAGATAAAAACTAGAAAGAGACATTCTGAGAAACAGCTTTGTTTTGTGTGCATTCATCTCACAGAGTTAAACATTTACTTTGATTCAGCAGTTTGGAAATCCTGCTTTTGTAGAATCTACCAAGAGACACTTTGGAGCACATAGAAGACTATGGTGAAAAAGAATATATCTTCATATAAAACTAGAAAGAAACTTTCTGAGAAACTGTTTTGTGATGCAGGCATTCATCTCAGAGGGTTAAACTTTTCTTTTGTGTGAGTAGTTTGGAAACCTGTTTTTGTCCAATCATCAAATGTACATTTGAGAGCTCAATAAGTGTAATGGTGTAAAAGCAAATATGCCAGGATAAAAACTAGAAGGATGATATTTGAGAAACCGCTTTGTGATGTGTGCATTCATCTCGCAGAGTAAACCTTTCTTTTGACTGAGCAGTTTGGAAACACTGTTTTTTGTCCATTCTGTGAATGGACATTTGGGAGCTCATTGAGGTCAATGGCACAAAAGTGAATATCCCAGGATAAAAACTGGAAGGAAGCTATCTGAGAAGCTACTGTGTGATGTGTGCATTAATCTTCCCGTGTTAAAACTTTCTTTTGATTCAGCTGTTTGGAAACACTGTTTTTGTGGTTCTTCAAATGGATATTTGGGAGCTCATTGAGGCCAATGGCTAAAAAGCAAATATCCCAGGAAAAAAACTGGAAGGAAATTATCTGAGAATCTGCTGTACAATGGGTGCATTCATCTCACAGAGGTAAACCTTTCATTTCATTTTGCAGTTTTGAAATGCTATTTTTGTAGAATCTGTGACGGGATATTTGGGAGCACTTTCAGGCCAATGGTGAAAATGCAAATATCATCAGATAAAAACTCTAAAGAAATTTTCTGAGAAAATGCTTTGTGGTGTGCACATTCATCTCACAGAGCTAAAACTTTGTTTTGATTCAGCAGTTTGGAAACACTGTTTTTCTCCATTCTGCAAATGGACAGTTGGGAGCTCATTGAGGCTAATGGCTAAAAAAGTAAATGTCACAGGATAATAACTAGAAGGAAGCTATTTGAGAAACTGCTTTGTGATGTATACATTCATCTCACAGAGTTAAATCTTTCTTTTCATTCAGCATTTTGGGACAATGTTTCTGTAGAGTCTGCGAAGAGATATTTGGGAGCACATTGATGCCTATGGAGAAAAAGAAAATATCTTCAGATAATATCTAGAAAGAGGCTTTCTGAGGACCTGCTTTGTGATGTGTGCATTCAACTCACAGAGTTAAACCTTTCTTTTGATTCAGCTGTTTGGAGACACTGTTTTTCTCCATTCTGTGAAGGGACATTTGGGAGCTCATCGAGAGCAGTGGCAAAAAACAGAATATCCCACGATAAAAACAGGAGGGAAACTTTCTGAGAAACTGCTTTGTGGTGTCTCCATTGATCTCACAGAGTTAAACCTTCCTTTTGATTCAGGAGTTTTGAAATACTGTTTTTCTCCATTCTGTGAATGAACATTTAGGAGCTCTTTGAGGCCTGGGGTGAAAAAGGGAATATCCCAGGATAAAAACAGGAGGGAAACTTTCTGAGAAACTGTTGTGTGATGCATGCATTCGCCACACAGAGTTAAACTTTTCTTTTCCTTCAGCAGTTTGGAAATATTGTTTTTGTAGGAACTGCAAAAAAAATATTTGGGTGCATATTGAGGCCTATGGTGAAAAAGAAAATATCTTCAGATAAAATCTAAGAAGAAGCTTTCTGAGAAACTGCTTTGTGATGTGTGCATTCATCTCACAGAGTTAAACCTTTCTTTTGATTCAGCTGTTTGGAAGCACCGTTATTGTCCATTCTGCAAATGGAGCTCATTGAGGCTCATTGAGGCCCATGGCAAAAAAATAAATGTCGCAGGATAACTAGAAGGAAGCTATTTGAGAAATCGCTTTGTGATATATGCATTCACTCACAGAGTTAAATTTTTCTTTTCATTCAGCATTTTGGAAACATATTTTTGTAGAGTCTTCGAAGAGATATTTGGGAGCACGTTGATGCCTATGGAGAAAAAGAAAATACCTTCAGATAAAATCTAGAAAGAGGCTTTCTGAGAACCTGCTTTGTGATGTGTGCATTCATCTCACAGACTTAAATCTTTCTTTTGAATCAGCTGTTTGTAAACACTGTTTTTTTTTTTTTCATTCTGCAAATGGACATTTTGGAGCTCTTTGAGGCCAATGGTGAAAAAGAGAACATCCCAGGATAAAAACCAGAAGGAAGCAATCAGAGAAACTGCTTTGTGATGTGTGCATTCATTTCACAGATTTAAACGTTTCTTTTGATTCAGCAGTTTGGAAACACTGTTTTTTTCCCCTTCTGCAAATGGACGTTTGGGAGCTCATTGTGGCTAATGATGAAAAAGCAAATATCCCATGATAAAAACTTCAAAGAAGCTATCTCAGAAACTGCTTTGTTATGTGCACATTTGTCTCAGAGTTTTAATCATTACTTTTGATCAACTTTTTTGGAAACACTGTTTTTGTACATTCTGCCAATGGACATTTGGGAGATTGTTGAGGCCAATGGTGTAGAAGAAAATATCTTCAAATGAAAATTAGAAGGAAGTTTCAGAGAAACTGCTTTGTGATGTCTCCATTCATCTCACAGAGTTAAACATCTGTTTTGATTCAGGAGTTTTGGAGCACTGTTTTTCTCCATTCTGTGAAGGGACACTTGGGAGATCATTGAGGCCAGTGGCAAAAAAGAGAATATCCCAGGATAAAAACAGGAGGGAAGCTTTCTGAGAAGCTGTTGCGTGATGTGTGCATTCACATCAGAGAGTTAAACTTTTCTTTTCATTCAGCAGCTTGGAAATATTGTTTTTGTTGAAACTGCAAAAAAAAAAATTTGGGTGCACCAGAAGGAAGCAATCTGAGAAACAGCTTTATGAAGTGTTCATTTACCTCCCATATTTAAATCTGTCTTTTAATTCAGTGGTTTGGAAACATTGTTTCTGTCCCTTCTGTGAATGGACATTTGGGAGCTCATTGAAGCCAATGGCAAAAAAGTGAATGTCCCAGGTTAAAAATGAGAAAGAAGCAAACTGAGAAATCACTTTGCAATGTGTGCATTCATCTCACAGAGTTAAATCTTTCTTTTGATTCAGCAGTTTGGAAATACTGTTTTAGTCCACTGTGAAAATAAACATTTTGGACATCATTGAGGCCAAGGTAGAAAAAAGGAATATCCTAGGATAAAAACTGGAAGGAAGCTATCTGGGAAACCTCTTTGAGATGTGTGCTTTCATCTTGCTGACTTAAACATGTCTTTTGTTTGAGTAGTTTGCAAACACTCTTTTTGTCCATTCTACAAATAGACTTTTGGAACTCCTTGAGGCCAATGGCAAAAAAGGACTACCTAAGGGTAAAAACGAGAAGGAAGCTATGTGAGAAATTGCTTTGTGTTGTGTAATTCATCTGGCAGAGTTAAACATTTCTTTTCATTCACTGTTTGGAAACACTGTTTGTGCAGGAGCTGCTAAGGGATATTTGAAAGCGCATTGAAGCCTATGGAGAAAAAGAAAATAACTTCAATTAAAAATAAGACAGAAGCTTGCTGAGTAAGTGCTTTATTATATGTGCAGTCATCTCATAGAGGTAAACCTTTATTTTGATTGAGTAGTTTGGAAACACTGTCTTTGCAGAATCTGGGAAGGAAAGAGAACATTGAGGCATAGGGAGGAAAAGGAAATATCTTAAGATACAAACTAGAAAGAATTTTTCTGAGAAACTTTTTTGTGGTGTGTGCATTCATCTCATATAGTTAAACCTTTCTTTTGAATAAGCAGTTTGGAAACACTGTTTTTGCAGAATCTGCAAAGGGATATTTGGGAGCACATTGAGGCCTATGGTGAAAAAGGAAATATCTTCATATACAAAGTAGAAACTTTCTGAGAAGCTGCTTGATGACGTGTGCATTCATCTCAAAGAGTTAAAACTTTCTTTTGATTGAGCAGTTTGGAAACATTGTTTTTATAGAATCTGCTAAGAGATATTTGGGAGCCCATTGAGTTTTATGTTGAAAAAGGGAATATCTTCACATAAAAACTAGAAAGAAGTTTTCTGAGAAACTGCTTTGTGATGAGTGCATTCATCTCACAGAGTTAAACATTCCTTTTGATTGAGCGGTTTGGAAAAACAATTTTTCTAGTATCTGCAAGGGGATATTTGGGAGATATTGAGTCTTATGATGAAAAAGGAAATATCTCCACATAAAAAGTAGAAAGAAACATTCTGAGAAACTCCTTTGTGATGTGTGCATTCATCTCATAGAGTTAAACCATTCTTCTGATTGAGAAGTATGGAAACACGATTTTGGTGAATCTGCCAAGGGATATTTAGGAGTGCACGGAGGCCTATGGTGAAAAAGGAAATATCTTCACATAAAAACTAGAAGAAGCTTTCTGAGATACTGCTTTGTATTGTGTGCATTCATCTCACAGAGGTAACTTTCATTTTGATTGAGCCGTTTGGAAGCACTGTTTTTGCAGGATCTGAAAAGGGAAATTCAGAGCCATTGAGTATTATGGTGAAAAAGGAAATATCTTCACATAAAAAAAATTCTGAAGAACTGCTTTAAGATGTGTGCCTTCATTAGACAGAGTTAAAACTTTCTTTTGATTGAGAAGTTTGGGAACACTGTTTGTGTAGAAACTGCAAAGGGATATTTTGGAGTACATTGAGGCCTATGTTGAAAGAGGAAATATCTTCAAATATAAACTAAACAGAAGCTTTCTGAGAAACTGCTTTCCAGTGAGTGGATTCATCTCACAGAGTTAAACCTTTCTTTTGATTGAGGAATTTGAAATCACGGTTTTTGTAGAATCTACAAAAGGAAACTTGGAGTGCATTGGAGCCTATGGTGAAAAAGAAAATATCTTCAGATACAAACTAGAAGGAAGCTTTCTGAGAAACAGCTTTGTGATATGTGCATTCATCTCATAGAGGTAAACTTTTCTTTGCATAGAACGGTTTGGAAACACTGTTTTTGTGGAATCTGTGAAGGGATATTTGGGATCCCATTGAGCCTTGTGGCAAAAAAGAAAGTATCTTCAGATACAAACTAGAAAGAAGCTTTCTGAGAAACTGTTTTGTGATGAGAATATTCATCTCACAGAGTGAAACCTTCCTTTTGATTGAGCAGTTTGGGAACTCTGTTTTTGTAGAATATGCAAAAATGATATTTCTTTTTTCATTGAGCAGTTTTGAAATACCATTTTTGTAGAATCTGTGGGATATTTGGGAGCGCATTGAGTCCAGCATTGATAAAGGAAATATGTTCACATAAAAACTGGAAATAAGCTTTCTGACAAACTGCTTTAAGATGTGTGCATTCATCTCATAGAGTTAAACTTTTCTTTGACAGAGAAGTTTGGAAACACTGCTTTGGTAGAAACTGTGAAGGGATATTTGTTTGCGCTTTGAGGCCTATGGTGAAAAAATAAATATCTTCACATAAAAACTAGAAAGAAGCATTCTGAGAATCTGCTTTGTGATGTGTTCATTCACTTCACTAAGTTAAACCTTTCTTTTGATTGAGCACTTTAGAAACACTGTTTTTGTAGAAACTTTGAAGGCATATTTGGGAGCACATTGAGTCCTACAGTGATAAACAGAATATATTCACTTAAAAACTGGAAAGACGATTGCTTAGAAACTGCTTTTTCAAGTGTGCATTCATCTCACAGAGTTAAACCTTCCTTTTGACTGAAAAGTTTGGAAACTGTTTTTATAGAATCTGTGAAGGGATATTGGGAACACATTGAGGCCAATGGTGAAAAAGGAAATAGCTTCACATAAAAACTAGAAAGAAGCTTTTTGAGAAACTTCTTTGTGATGTGTGCATTCATCTCACAGAGCTGAATCTTACTTTTGATTGAGCAGTTTGGAAACACTGTTTTTGTAGAATCAGTGAAGGGATATTTGGGATTACATTGTTGCCTATGTTGAAAAAGTAAATAACTTCAGTTACAAACAAGAAACAAGCTTTCTCTGAGACTGCTTTTTATGTGTGTATTCATCTCTTATAGCTAAATATTTCCTTTCATTGAGCAGTTTGGCACACTGTTTTTGTAGAATCTGTGAAGGTATATTTCTTTGCACTTTGAGCACTATGATGAAAAAGTGAATATCTTCAGTTATAAACTAAAAATAAGCATTCTGAGAAACTGCTTTGTGATCAGTGCATTCATCTCACAGAGTTAAACCTTGCTTTTGATTGAGAAGTTTGGAAACACTGTTTTTGTCAAATCTGCAAAAGGATATTTGGAGCACATTGAGTCCTATGGTGAAAAAGGAAATATCTTCTCATAAAAATTAGAAAGAAGCTTTCTGAGAAACTGCGTTGTGATGTGTGCATTCATCTCACAGAGTTAAACCTTTCTTTTTTTTGAGCAACTTGGAAAGACTGTTTTCATAGAATCTGCAAAGGGATAATTTGGAGCCCATTATGTCTTATGTTGAAAAAGGAAATATCTTCACCTAAGAACTAGAAACTTTCTGACAACCTGCTTTGTGATGTATGCATTCATCAGATGGAGTTCAACCTTTACTTCGATTGAGCAGTTTGGAAAAACTATTTTGTAGAATCTGCAAGGGAATATTTGGGAGCCATTGAGTCTTATGGTGAAAAAGGAAATATCTCCACATCCAATCAAAAAGAAGCTTTCTGAGAAACTGCTTCGTGATGTATGCATTCCTCTTATAGAGTTAAAGCTTTATTTTGATTGAGCAATTTGGAAACAGTGTTTTTGCAGATTCCACAAAAGGATATTTGTGAGTGCCTGGAGGCATATGGTGAAAAAGGAAATATTTTCAGATACAAACTAGAAAGAAGCTTTCTCTGAAACTGCTGTGTGAGGTATGCATTCATGTCACAGAGTTAAAACTTTCTTTTGATTGAGCAGTTTGGAAACACCATTTTTGTAGAATCTGTGAAGGGGTATTGTGTTGTGCTTTGAGGCCTATGGTGAAATAGAAAATATATTCATATATAAACAAAAAAGAAACTTTCCTAGAAACTGCTTTGTGATGTCTGCATTCATCTCTTAGAGTTAAAGCTTTATTTTGATTGAGCAGCATGGAAACACTGTTTTTGTAAAATCTGGGGAGGGATATTTGGGAGTATATTGGGGCCAATGGTGAAAAAGGAAATGTCTTCAGAAAGAAACTTGAAGGAAGCTTTCACTGAAACTGCTTTGTGATGTGTGCATTCATCTCACAGAGGTAAACCTTTATTTAGATTCAGCAGTTTGGAAACAGTGTTATGGTAAAATCTGTGTGGGTTTATTTGGTTTTGCTTTGAGGCCTATTGTGAAGAAGGAAATATTTTCAGGCATAAACTAGAAAGAAACTTTCTGAAAAATTGCTTTCTGATTTATGCATGAATCTCACAGAGTTAAACCTTCCTTTTGATTGAACAATTTGGAAACAAATTATTTTTAGAATCTGCAAAAGTATACTTGGGAGTGCGTTGGGACCTATGGTGAAAAAGGAATTATCTTCTCATAAAAACTCGAAAGAAGCTTTGTGACAAACTGCTTTGTGATGAGTGCATTCATCTCCCAGAGTTAAACCTTCATTTTGATTGTGCAATTAGGAAACGTGTTTTTGTAGGATCTGCAAAAGGATCTTTGGAGCACAATGAGGCCAATGGTGAAAAAGAAAATATCTTCACATAAAAACTGGAAAGCAAGTATCTGAGAAACTGCTTTGTGATGTGTAGATTCATCTCATAGAGTTAAACCTCTCTTTTGATTGAGCAGTATGGAAACACTGTTTTTGTAGAATCTGCAAAGAGATACTTGGGAGTGCATTGAGACCTATGGTGAAAAAGGAAATATCTTCAAACACAAATTAGAAAGAAGCTTTCTCTGAAACTGCTTTGGATGTGTGCATACATCTCTCATAGGTAAACCTATCTTTTGATTCAGCAGCTTGGAAACACTGTTTTTGTATAATCTGCAGAGGGATATTTGGGAGCACATTAAGGCTTACTGTGAAAAAGGAAATATCTTCAGATACAAGCTAGAAAGAAACTTTCTGAGAAACTTCTTTGTGAGGTTTGCATTCATATCACAGAGTTAAACCTTCCTTTTGATTGAGCAATTTGGAAACTTTTTTTTTTTTTTAGAATCTGCAAAAGGATATTTGGGAGCGCTTTGAGGCCAATGGTGAAAAATGAAATATCTTCACATACAAACTAGAAAGAAGCATTCTGAGAAACTGCTTTGTGATGTGTGCATTCTTCTCACAATGATAAACCATTCTTTTGATTGAGCAGATTGGACACACCGTTTTTGTACAAACTGCGAAGGCATATTTGGGAGCACATTGAGTCCCATGTTAATAATGAAAATATATTCACAAAGAAAATGGAAAGAAGTTTTCTGAGAAACTATTTGTGATGTGTGCATTCATCTCACAGATTTAAAACTTTCTTTTGATTGAACCATTTGGAAACACTGTTTTTTCAGAATCTGCAAAAGGACATTTGGGAGCACCTTGAGGCCAATGGAGAAAAAGGAAATATCTTCACATAAACAACTAGAAAGAAGCATTCTGACAAACTGCATAGTGATGTGTGCATTCATCTCATAGAGTTAAACCTTTCTTTACACTGAGAAGTTTTGGAAAACTCTTTATGTAGAATCTGTGAGGAGATATTTTGGAACGTTTTGAGGCCCATGGTGAAAAAGGAAATATCTTCAGATACAAATTAGAAAGAAGCTTTCTCTGAAACTGCTCTGCGATGTGCAGTTCATCTCACAGAGTTAAACCTTTCTTTTGATTGAGCAGTTTGGAAACACTGTTTTTGTGGAATCTGCAAAGGGATATTTGGGAGTGCATTGAGCCCTATGGTGAGAAAGGAAATACCTTAGGATACAAACTAGAAAGAAACTCACTGAGGAACTGCTTTGTGATGTGTGCTTTCATCTCACAGAATTAAACCTTCCTTTTGATTGAGCAATTTGGAAACACTTTTTTTTTCGAATCTGCAAAACGATATTTGGGAGCTCATTGAGGCTAATTGTGAAGAATGAAATACCTTCACATAAAAACTAGAAAGATGTTTTCTGAGAAACTGTATTGTGATGTGTGAATATCTCCAGATACAAACTAGAAAGAAGCTTTCTCTGAAACTACTATGAGATGTGTGCATTCATCTCACAGAGTTAAACCTTTCTTTTGATTGATCCTTTTGGAAACACTGCTTTTGTAGTATCTGCGAAGGAATATTTGTGCTTTGAAGTCTATGGTGAAAAAGGAAATATCTTCAGATATAAACAAAAAAGAAGCTTTCTGAGAAACTGTTTTGTGATGTTTTCTTTTATCTCATAAAGTTTAACCTTTCTTTTGATTGAGTAGTAAGGATACACTGTTTTTGTAGAATCTGCGAAGGGATATTTGAGAGTGCATTGAGGCCTATGGTGAATAAGGAAATATCTTCAGATACAAAATAGAAAGAAGCTTTCACCGAAACTGCTTTGTGATGTCTGCATTCATCTCACAGAGTTAAACCTTTTTTTTTAAATGAGCAGTTCAGAAACACCATTTTGGTAGAATCTGCGAGGGTTTTTTTTTCCGCTTTGAGGCCTATTTTGCAAAAGGAAATATCTTCACATAAAAACTGGAAAGAAGCTTTCTGAGAAACTGGTTTACGATTAGTGCATTCATCTCAAAGAGTTAAAGCTTCCTGTTGATTAAGCAGTTAAGAAACATTGTTTTTGTAGAATGTGCAAAAGGATATTTGGAGCCCATTGAGGTCAGTGGTGAAAAAGCAAATATCTTCACATGAAAACTAGAAAAAAGCTTTCTGAGAAACTGCTTTGTGATGTGTGCATTTATCTCATGCATTTAAAGCTTTATTTTTATTGAGCATATTGGAAACACTGTTTTTGTAGACTCTGTGAAGGCATATTTGGGAGCGCATTGAGTTCTATGGTGATAAAGAAATTATGGGGGAGGGATAACATTAGGAGATATACCTAATGCTAAATGATGAGTTAATGGGTGCAGCACACCAACATGGCACATGTATACATATGTAACAAACCTGCACATCATGCACATGTACCCTAAATCTTAAAGTATAATAATAATAAAATAAAAATTAAAAAAAGAAATTATGTTCATATAAAAAAGAGAAAGAAGCCTTCTGAGTAACTGCTTTGTGATGTGTGCATTCATCTCACAGAGTTAAACCTTTCTTTTGATTGAGCAGTTTGGAAACTCTGTTTTTGTAGAATCTGCAAAGGGATATTTTGTTTCGCTTTGAGGCCTGTTGTGAAAAAGGAAATATCTTCAGATATAAATTACAAGAATTTTTCTGAGAATGTGCTTGTGATGAGTGCATTCATTCCACAGAGTTAAACCTTCCTTTTGATTGAGCAGTTTGGAAACACTGTTTTTGTAGAATCTGCAGAAAGATATTTGGAGTACTTTGAGGCCTATTGTGAAAAATAAAATAACTTCACATAAAAATAAGAAATAAGCTTTCTGAAAAACTGCTTTGTGGTGTGTGAATTCATCTCACAGAGTTAAATTTCTCTTTTGATTGAGAGTTTTGGGATCACTGTTTTTACAGAATCTGAGAAGCGATATTTAGGAGCGCATTGAGGCCCATGGTGATAAAGGAAATATCTTCATATACAAACTAGAAATGAGCTTTCTCTGAAACTGCTTTATGAGGGGTGCATTCATCTCAAAGAGTTAAAACTTTCTTTTGATTGAGCAGTTTGGAAACATTGTTTTTGAAGAAACTGTAAAGGGATATTTGGGAGCAGATTTAGGTCTATGGTGAAAAATGATATATCTTCAGATATAAACTAAAAACAGGCTTTATGAGATGCTGCTTCATGATGAGTGCATTCATCTCACAGAGTTAAAACTTCTTTTTGATTGAGCAATTTGTAAACACTGGTTTTGTAGCATCTGCAAAAGGATCTTTGGAGCCCATTGAGGCCAATGGTGAAAAAGAATATATCTTCATATAAAAACTAGAAAGCAGCTTTCTTAGAAACTGCTTTGTGTTGCGTGCATTCATCTCATAGAATTAAACCTTTATTTTGATTGAGCAGTATGGAAACACTTTTTTTTTTACAAACTGTGAAGGGATATTTGGGAGCACAATGAGGCATGTGGTGAAAAGGAAATAATTCCACATAAAAACTAATAAAGAAGCTTTCTGAGAAACTGCTTTGAGATGTGTGCATTCATCTCACAGAGATAAAACTTTCTTTTGATGTAGCACCTTGGAAACACTGTTTTTGTAGAAACTGCGAAGGGATATTTGGGAATGCATAGAGTCCCATGGTGATAAAGGAAATATGTTCAAATAAGAACTTGAAAGATATTTTCTGAAGAAACTGTTTGTGAAGAGTGCATGCATCTCACAGAGTTAAACGTTTCTTTTGCTTGAGCAATTTGGAAACACCTGTTTTGTAGAATCTGCAAAATATATTTGTAGTGCATTGAGACCTATGGTGGAAAAGGAAATATCTTCACATAAAATCTAGAAAGAAGCTTTCTGATAGACTGCTTTGTGATGTGTGCATTCGTCTTATAGAATTAAACCTTTCTTTTCATTGAGGCATTCACAAACAGTGTTTTTGTAGAATCTGAACAGGGATATTTGGGTGAGCATTGAGGCCTATGTTAAAAAGGGAAATATCTCCAGATACAAACTAGAAAGAAACTTTCTGTGAAACTGCTTTATGATATGTGCATTCATCTCACAGAGATAAACTTTGAGCAGTTCGGAAAGACTTTGTAGAACCTGCAAAAGAATAGTTGGGAACACATTGAGTCTTATGGTGAAAAAGGAAACATCTTCACATAAAAACTAGAAAGAAGCTTTCTGAGAAACAGCTTTGTGATGCATGCATTCATCTCACAGAGTTAAAACTTCCTTTTGATTGAGCCATTTGGAAACACTGTTTTTGTAGAATCTGCAAAGGGATATTTGGGAGCCCATTGAGTCTTACGGGGAAAAGGCAATATCTTCACATAAAGACTTGAAAGAAACATTCTGAGAAACTGTTTTGAGAAGTGTGTGTTCATCTCACAGAGTTAAAGCAGTCTTTTGATTGAGCAGTTTGGAAACACTGTTTTTGTAAGGACTGCTAAAAGATATTTGGGAGCACAATGAGTCCTGTGGTGATAAATATGTTCACATAAAAACTATAAAGATAATTTCTGAGAAATTGCTTTGGAAATGTGCATTCCTCTCACAGAGTTAATGATTTCTTTTGATTGAGCAGTTTGGAATCTCTGTTTTTGTACAATCTGCAAAGGGATATTTGGGAAGGCATTGAGGCCTGTGGTGAAAAAATATCTTCAGATAAAACTAGAAAGAAGTTTCTGTGAAACTGCTTTGTGACGTGTGCATTCATTTCAAAGAGATAAAACTTTCTTTTGATGGGGCAGTTTGGAAACACTGTTTTTGTAGAATCTGCAAAGGGATATTTGGGTGCCCCTTGAGTCTTATGGTGAAAAAGTAAACATCTTTAGTTAAAAACTACAAAGAAGCTTTTTGAGAAACTGCTTTAAGTTGTGTGTGTTCATCTGCATCAAGGCTGATGGTGGAAAAATTATCTTAAGATATGAAAGAAAAAGAAGCTTTCTGAGAAACTGGTTTGTGATGTAAGCATTCATCTCAGAGAGTTAAAACTTCCTTTTGATTTAGCAGTTTGGAAACACAGTTTTTTAAAAAACTGCAAAAGGATATTTGGAACACCTTGAGGCATATGGTGAAAAAGGAAATATCTTCATATAAAAACTAGAAAGAAGCTTTCTCTGAAACTGCCTTGCAATGTGGACATTTATCTCATAGAGTTAAACCTTTCTTTTGATTGAGCAGTTTAGAAACACTTTTTTTGTAGAATATGTGAAGGGATATTTGGGAGCTCATTGAGGCCCATGGGTAGAAAGGCAGTATATTCAGATACAAACTAAAGAAGCTTTCTGAAAAACTGCTTTGTAAGGTGTGAATTCATGTCATAGAGTTAAACTTTTCTTTTGATTGAGCAGTTTGGAAAGATGGTTTTTGTAGAATCTGCAAAGGGAAATTTGGGAGTGCATTGAGGTCTATGGTGTAAAACCAACTATCTTCAGATACTAACTAGAAAGAAGCTTTCTGAGAAAATGCTTTGTGATGTGTTCATTCATCTCACAGAGTAAAACCTTTCTTTGATTGAGCAGTTTGTAAGCACTATTTTTGTAGAAACTGCAAAGGGATATTTTGGAGCACATTGAGTTTTATGGTGATAAAGGAAATATCTTCACATAAAAACTACATAAAAGCTTTCTGAGAAACTGCTTTGTGATGTGTGCATTCATTCGACACAGTTAAACCTTTCTTTTGCTTGAGCAGTCTGAAAATACTGTTTTTATAGGAACTGTGAAGGGATATTTGGGAGTGCTTTGAGTCCTATGGTGATAAAGGAGATATGTTCACAAAAAACTGGAAAGATGCTTTTTGAGAAACTGTTTTGTGAAGTGTGCATTAATCTCACAGTATTAAACCTTTCTTATAATTGAGCAGTTTGGGATCTCGTTTTTGTAAAATCTGTGAAGGTATATTTGGGAGGGCATTGAGGCCTATGTTGAAAAAAATATCTTCAGAGAAAACTAGAAAGAAACTTTTCATGAAACTGCTATGTGAAGTGTGCATTTATCTCTAAAAGATAAACCTTTCTTTTCATGGAGCAGTATGGAAACACTGTTTTTGTAGAATCTGTGAAGGGATATTTGGGAGTCCACTGAGTCTTATGGTGAAAATGGAAATATCTTCACATAAAAACTAGAAAGAAGCTTTCTGAGAAACTGCTTTGTGATGTGTGCATTCATCTCACAGAACTGAACCTTTCTGTTCATTGAGATGTTTGGAAACACGGTTTTTGTGGAATCTTAAAAGTGAAATTTGGGAGCCCATTGAGTCATATGGTGGAAAAGGAAATATATTCACATAAAAACTAGAGAGAAGCTTTATGAGAAACTGCTTTGAGATGTGTGCGTTCATCTCACAGAGTTAAACCTTTCTTTTCATTGAGCTGTTTGAATACACTGTTTTTGTAGAATCTGTGAAGGGATACTCGGGAGTGCATTGAGTCTTATGGTGAAAAAGGAATCATCTTCAGATACAAAGTAGAAAGAAACTTTCTCTGAAACTGCTTTGTGATGTGTGCATTCATCTCACAGAGTTAAAACTTTCTTTTGATTCAGCACTGTGGAAACATTGTTTCTGTCCATTCTGCAAATGGACATTTGGGAGCTCATTGAGGTCAATGGTGAAAAAGCAAATATTCCAGGAAAAAGTCTAGAAGAAATCTACGTGAGAAACTGGTTTGTGATGTGTGCATTCATCTCACAGAGTTAAACCTTTCTTTTGATACAGCAGTTTGGAAAAACTGTTCTTCTCCTTTGTGTGATTGGAAAATTGGGAGCTCATTGATGCCAATGACAAAAAAGTGAATATCCCAGGAAAAATACTAGAATGAAGCTATCTAAGAAACCACGTTTGGGATGTGTGCATTCATCTCTCAGTATTAAGCCTTTCTTTTCATTAAGCAGCTTGGAAACACTATTTTTGTTCATTCTGTGAATGGACATTTGGGAGGTCATTGATGCCAATGGCAAAAAAGTGAATATCCCAGGATAAAAAAAAGAATGATGCAATATGGGAAACCACTTTGTGTTTTGTGCATTCTTCTCACAGAGGTAAACCTTTCTTTCCATTCAGCAGTTTGGAAACACTGTTTTTGTAGAATCTGCAAAGAGATATTTTGAAGCTCATTGAGGCCTATGGTGAAAAGGGAAATGTTTTCAGAAAGAAATCAGAAAGAAGCTTTCTGAGAAACTGCTTTGTGATGTGTGCACCCATCCCACAGAGTTACACCTTTCTTTTCATTCATCAGTTTGTAAGCACTGTTTTTGACCACTCTGCGACTAGACATTTCGGAGCTCATTGTGGCCAAAGGCAAAATATCCAATATCCCAGGATAAAAACTCAAGGAAGCTATCTGAGAATCCGCTTTGTGATTTTTGCACCCATCTCACAGAGTTAAATATTTCTTTTCATTCACCAGTTTGGAAACACTGTTTTTGTAAAATCTGTGAGTGGGTATTTGGCAGTGGATTGAGGCCTATGGAGAAAAAGAAAATAACTTCAGATAAAAACTAGAAAGAAGTTTTCTGGGAAATTCCCTTGTGATGTGTGCATTCATCTCACAGAAGTAAAACTTTCTTTTGATTCAGCACTTTGCAAACACTATTTTTGTCCATTCAGAGAATGGACATTTGAGAGATAATTGAGGCCAGTGGTGAAAATCAAGTATCCCAGGATAACAACTAAAAGGAAGCTAACTGTGGAATCACTTTGTGATATGTGCATTCATCTTGCAGTTAAACCTCACTTTTCATTCAGTTCTTTGGAAACTCTGTGTTTGTCCATTCTGCAAATAAACATTTGAGAGCTCATTGAGACTGAAGGTGAAAATGTGAATTTCCCAGGATAAAAACTAGAAGGATGCTATCTCAGAAATGGCTTTGTGATGTGTCCATTCACTCATACATTTAAATCTTCCTTTTGATTCCACAGTTTGGAAGCACTGGTTTTATCCTTTCAGTGAAAGGACATATCAGAGGGCATTGAGGACTAGGGTGCAAAAGAAAATATCTTCTGAAAAAAATGGAAAAGAGGCTTTCTGAGAAACTGCTTTGCAATGTATGCATCCATTTCACAGAGTCAACACTTTCTTTTGATTCAGCACTTTGGAAACACTGTTTTTATCCATTCTAGGAAAGGACATTTGTGAGCTCATTGAGGCCAGTGGTGAAACAGCGAAAATTCCAGGATAAAAACTACAAGGAAACTATCTGAGAAACTGCTTTGAGATGTGTGCATTCATCTCACGGAGTTACACCTTTCTTTTCGTTCATCAGTTAAGTTTTAACAAATTTAAAATTTTAACAGAGTTAAAACTTTCTTTTGATTGAGCAGTATGGAAGCACTGTTTTTTTCATTCTGTGAATGGACATTAGGGACACCGAGTTTAACCTTCTTTTCATTCAGCAGTTTGGAAACACTGTTTTTGTAGAATCTGTGAAGCTATATTTGGGATTGCATTGAGGCCAATGAAGTAAATGAAAGTATCTTCAAATAAAAACTAGAAAGAACCTTTCTGAGAAATTGCTTTGTGATGTGTGCCTTCATCTCACAGAGATAAAACTTTCTTTTGATTCAGCAATATGGAAACAACTATTTTTGTCCATTCTGCAAATGGACGTTTGGGAGCTCATTGAGGTCAATGGCAAAAAAGTGAATATCCCAGGAAAAAAACTAGAAGAAAGCTATCTGAGAAACCGGCTTGTGATGTGTGCATTCATCTTGCAGAGTTAGACCTTTCTTTTGATACAGCAGTTTGGAAACACCGTTCTTCGCCTTTGTGTGAATGGACATTTGGGAGCTCATTTGAGGCCAATGACAAGAAAGTGAATATCCCAGGAAAAAAACTAGAGTGAGGCTCTCTGAGAAACTGCTTTATGATGTGTGCATTCATCTCTTAGCATTTGGAAACACTGTTTTTGTGGAATCTGTGAAGGGATTTTTGAGAGTGCATTGAGGACTATGGTGAAAAAGAAAATATCTTCAGGTAAAAACTAGAAAGAAGGTTTCTGAGAAAGTGCTTTGTGATGCCGACTTTTGCCTCACGGAGTTAAACCTTACTTTTAATCCAGCAGTTTGGAAACACTTTTTTTGACCACTATGTGACTGCATAATTGGGAGCTCATTGGGGCCAACGGCAAAAAAACTGAATATCCCAAGATAAAAAATAGAAGGAAGCAATCTAAGAATCCACTTTGTGTTTTTTGTATTCATCTCACAGAGTAAAACCTTTCTTTTCATTCAGCAGTTTGGAAACACTGTTTTTGCAGAATCTGTGAATGGATATTTGGATCACATTGGGGTCTATGGTGACAAAAAAATTCAGATTAGAAATAGAAAGAATCTTTCTAAGAAACTGCTTTGTGATGTGTGCATTCATATCACAGAGCTAAATCTTTCTTTTGATTCAGCAGTTTGGAAACACTGTTTTTGTTCATTCTGCAAATGGACATTTGGGAGATCATTGAGACCAACTGCAAAAAAGTGAATATCCCAAGATAAAAATTAAGGGGAAGCTATCTGAGAAACTGCTTTGTGATGTGTGCATTCACTCACAGAGTTAAAATTTTCTTTTCATTTACCAGACTGAAAAAACTGTTTTTGTAGAATCTGTGAAGGGATATTTGGTAGTGCATTTAGGCCTCTGGTGAAAAAGAAAATATCTTACGATAAAAGCTAGAAAGAAGTTATGTAAGGAACCACTTTGTGACGTGTACATTTTTCTCAGACAGTTAAACATTTATTTTGATTCAGTAGTTTGGAAAAACCGTATTTGTCCATTCTGCAAATGGACTTCTGGGACCTCATTGAGGCCAATTGCAAAAAAGCTAATATAGGAGGATAGAAACTAGAAGGATGCTATCTGAGAGACTGCTTTCTACTGTGTGCATTCATACCTTAGATGTAAACCTTTCTTTTCTTCAGGAGTTTGGAAACACTTTTATTGTAGAATCTCTGAAGGGGTATTTGGGGTGCATAGAGACCTATGGTGAAAAAAAATATCTTCAGATGAAAAGTAGAAAGAAGCTTTCAGAGAAACTGCTTTGTTATTTACACATTCATCTCACAGAGTTAACACCTTATTTTGATTCAGCTGTTTTGAAACACTGCTTTTGTCCATTATGCAAATGGACATTTGGGAGGAAATTGTGGCCAATGGTGAAAAAAGGAATATCCCAGGGAAAAACTACAAGGAATCTATTTGAGAAACTGCTTTGTGATGTGTACCTTCACCTCATACAGTTAAACCTTTCTTTTGATTCAGCAGTTTGGAAATGCTGTTTTTTTCCATTCTGTGAAAGGATATTGGGAGCTCATTGAGGTCTATGGTGAAAAAGAAAATATCTTCAGAGGAAAACAGGAAAGAAGCATTCCTGGATATTGCTTCGTGTTGTGTCCATTCATCTCACAGAGTTAAACCATTCTTTTGATTCAGCAGTTTGGAAACACTGTTTTTTCCATTCTGCGAATGGACATTTGGGAGCTCATTGAGGCCAATGGCCAAAAATCGAATGTCCCAGTATAAAAACTAAGAGGAAGCTATAAGAGAAACCACTTTGTGATGTGTGCTTTCTTCTCACAGAGTTAAACCTTTCTTTTGATTCAGCAGTTTGAAAACACAGTTTTCGTCCATTCTGAGAATGGACATTTGGGAGCTCATTGAGGCTAATGGTGAAAAACCCAATATCCCAGGATAAAAATGAAGGAAGCCATCTGAGAAACCAATTTGTGATGTATCTATTCACCTTGAGGAGTTGAGTCATTCTTTTTCATTCAGGAGTTTGGAAACACTGTTTTTGTAGAATCTGCAAATGGACATTAAGGGGTTCTTTGAGGCAAATGGAGAAAAAGTGATTATCCCCTGATAAAAACTAGAAGGAATCTATCTGAGAAACCACTTTGTGATGTGTGAATTCATCTCACAGGTTAATCCTTTCTTTTCATTCAGCAGTTTGGAAACACTGTTTCTGTAGAATCTGTGAAAGGATAGTTGGGAGCACATTGAGGCCTATTGTGAAGAAAACATCTTCAGATAAAAACTAGAAAGAAGCTTTCTGAGAAACTGCTTCACAATATTTGCATTCATCTCAAAGAGTTATACTTTTTTTGATTCAGCATTTTGGAAACTCTATTTTTCTCCATTGTGTTAATGGACATTTTGGAGCTCCTTTATGCCAATGGCAAAAAAGCTAATATTCCTTGGTAAAAACTAGATGGAATGTATGTGAGAAACCACTTTGTGGTGTGGACTTTCATCTCACAGAGTTAAACCTTCTTTACATTCAGTATTTTGGAAACACTGTTTTTGTCCATTCTGTGAATGGACATTTGGGGGCTCATTGAGGCTAATGGTGAAAAATCCAAAGTCCCATTATAAAACTAAGAGGAAGCTATCTGAGAAACTGCTTTGTGATGTGTGCATTCATCTCATAGTGTTAAACCTTTCCTTTCATTCAGCAGTATGGAAACACTTTTTTTGGCCTTTGTGAGAATGGACATTTGAAAGCTCATTGAAGACAATGGTGAAAAAGTGAATATCCCAGGATAAAAACTAGAAGGAAGATATCTGAGAAAACGGTTTGTGATGTGTGCATTCATCTCTCAGAGTTAAAACTTTCTTTACATTCAGCAGTCTGGAAACACTGTTTTTGTTCATTCTACAAATGGACATTTGGGAGCTCACTGATGCCAATGGCGAAAAAGCGAATATCCCAATATAAAAAAAGAAGGATGCTATCTGAGACACCGCTTTGTGATGTATGCATTCTTCTTGAAGAGATAACCTTTCTTTTCATTCAAAAGTTTGGAAATACTGTTTCTGTATAATCTGCGAAGGGATTTTTGGGAGCTCATTGAGGCCTATTGTGAAAAGGAAAATATTTTCAGATTAAAAACGAGTAAGAAACTTTCTGAGAAACCGCTTTGTGACATGTTCACCCATCTCACAGAGGTACACCTTTCTTTTAATTCATCAGTTTGGAAGCACTCTTTTTGTCCACTCTGCAAGTGGACATTTCAGAGCTCATTGTGGCCAATGGCAAAAAAGTGAATATCCCACGATAAAAACTAGAAGGATGCTATCTGAGAAACTTGTTTGTGAGGTCTGCATTCATCTCACAGAGTTAAACCATTCTTTTGATACAGTAGTTTGTAAACAAAGTTTTTTTAGAATCTGCAAAGGGATATTTGGGAATGAATTGAGGCCAATGGTGAAAAATTGAAAAACTCAGGATAAAAATTAAGAGGAAGCTATCTGAGAAACCACTTTGTGATGTATTCATTCATCTCACATAATTAACACATTATGTTTATTCAGCAATTTGGAAACACTGTTTTTGAAGGATCTGCGAAGTGATATTTGGGAGCTCATTGAGGCCAATGGCCAAAAAAGAGAATATCCCACGATAAAATCCAGAAGGAAGCTATCTGAGAAAATGCTTTGTGATGTGTGCATTCAGCTCAAGGAGTTAAATTTTTCTTTTAATTCAACAGTTTTGAAACATTGTTTTTGTAGAATCTGCAAATTGACATTTGGGAACTCATTCAGGCCTATGGTGAAAAAGAAATTATCTTCAGGTAAAAACTGGAAAGAAGCTTTCTGAGTAACTGCTTTGTGGTGTGTGCATTAATCTCACAGAATTAAACCTTTCTGTGGATTCATCAGTTTGGAAACACTGTTTTTGTCCACTTTGCTAATGGGCATTTGGAGGCTAATTAGGCCAAAGGGGAAAACGACTATCCAACAATAAAAACGAGAAGGAAACTATCTGAGAAACTGGCTTGTGATGTCTGCATTCATCTTGCAGATTTAAACATTTCATCTCCTTCACCATTTTGGAAAAAGTGTTTTTGTAGTATCTGCAAAGAGATATTTTGGACGCATTGGGGCCTATGGTTAAAAATAAAATATCTTCAGATAAAAACTAGTTTTGTCCATCACAAAACTGTTTTGTGATGTGCACATTCATCTCACAGAGTTAAACCTTCTTTTCATTCAGCAGTTTGGAAACACTGTTTTTCTTCATTCTGCAAATGGATATTTTCAAGCTCATTAAGGACAAAGGGAAGTGGTGACAGACAGCACCTGGAAAATTGGGTAACTCTAACCCTAATACTGTGCTTTTCCAATGGTCTTAGCAAATGGCACACCAGGAGGTTATATCCCGCATATGGCTGAGAGGGTCCCAAGCCCACAGAGTCTTGCTTATTGTTAGCACATCAGTCTGAGTTCGAACTTCAAGGTGGCAGCAAGGCTGGGAGTGGGGTGCCTGCAATTGCTAAGGCTTGAGTATGTAAACAAAGCATCTGAGAAGCTCGATCTCAGTGGAGCCCACCGCAGCTCAAGGAGGCCTGCCTGTCTTTAGAGACTCCACCTCTGGGGGCAGGGCATAGCCGAACAAAAGACAGCAGAAACTTCTGCAGACTTAAAAGTCCCTGTCTGACAGCTTTGAAGAGAGCTGTGGTTCTCCCAGCATGGCATTTGAGATCTGAGAATTGACAGACTGCCTCCTCAAGTGGGTCCCTGACCCCTGAGTAGACTGAGAGGCACCCTCCAGTAGAGGCAGACTGGCTGCTCACATGGCCGGGTACTCCTCTGAGATGAAGCTTCCAGAGGAATGATCAGGCAGCAAAATGTGCTGTTCAGCAATAATCGCAGTTCTGCAGCCTCTGCTGCTGATACCCAGGCAAACAGGTCTGGAATGGACCTCCAGCAAAATTCAGCAGACCTGCAGCTGAGGTTCCTGACGGTTAGAAGGAAAACTAACAAAAAGAAAGCACATCCACACCAAAACCCAACTGTACGTCACTATCATCAAAGACCAAAGGTAGATAAAACCACAAAGATGGGGAAAAAAACAGCAGAAAAGCTGAAAATTCTAAACATCAGAGTGCCTCTCCCCTTGCAAAGGAACGCAGCTCCTCGCCAGCAAGAGAACAAGCTGGACAGAGAATGACTTTGAGAAGTTGAGAGAAGAAAGCTTCAGATGATCAAACTTCTGTGATCGAAAGGAGGAAGTTTGAACACATTGGAAAGAAGCTAAAAACCTTGAAAAAAATAAGACCAAGAGCTAACTAGAATAACCAGTGTAGAAAAGTCCTTAAATGACCTGATGGAGCTGAAAACAATGGCACAAGAACTACGTGATGAATGCACAAGCTTCAGTAGCTGATTTGATCAACTGGAAGAAAGGGTAACAGTGATGGAAGATCAAATGAATCAAATGAAGCGAGAAGATAATTTTAGAGAAAAAAGGGTAAAAAGAAATGAAAGAAGCCTCCAAGAAATATGGGATTACGTGAAAAGACAAAATCTACGTGTGATTGCTGTACCTGAAAGTGACGGGGAGAATAGAAACAAGTTGGAAAACACTCTGCAGGATATTATCCAGGAGAACTTCCCCAACCTAGCAAGGCAGGCCAACATTCAAATTCAGAAAATACAGAGAAGTCCACAAAGATACTCCTCAAGAAGAGAAACTCCAAGGCACGTAATTGTCAGATTCACCAAAGTTGAAATGAAGGAAAAAATGTTAAGGACAGCCAGAGAGAAAGGTCTGGATACGCACAAAGGGAAGCCCATCAGACTAACAGCTGATCTCTCAGCAGAAACTCTACAAACCAGAAGAGAGGGGGGCCCAATATTCAACATTCTTAAAGAAAAGAATTTTCAACCCAGAATTTCATATCCAGCCAAACTAAGCTTCATAAGTGAAGGAGAAATAAAGTCCTTTACAGACAAGCAAATGCTGAGAGATTTTGTCACCACGAGGCCTGCCCTACAAGAGCTCCTGAAGGAAGCACTAAACATGGAAAGGAACAACCAGTACCAGCAACTGCAAAAACATGCCAAATTGTAAAGGCCATCGATGATAGAAAGAAACTGCATCAACTAACGAGCAAAATAACTACCTAACATCATAATGACAGGATCAAATTCACACATAACAATATTAACTTTAAATGTAAATGGGCTAAGTGCTCCAATTAAAAGACACAGATTGACAAATTGGATAAAGAGTCAAGTCTCATCAGTGTCCTGTATTCATGAGACCAATCTCATGTGCAGAGACACACATAGGCTCAAAATAAAGGGATGGAGGAAGATCTCCCAAGCAAATGGAAAACATTAAAGGCAGGGGTTGCAATCCTAGTCTCTGATAAAACAGACTTTAAACCAACAAAGATCAAAAGAGACTAAGAAGGCCATTACATAATGGTAAAGGGATCAATTCAACAAGAAGAGCTAACTATCCTAAATATATATGCATCCAATACAGGAGCACCCAGATTCATAAAACAAGTCCTTAGTGACCTACAAAGAGACTTAGACTCCCACACAATAATAATGGGAGACTTTAACACCCCACTGTCAGCATTAGACAGATCAATGAGACAGAAAGTTAGCAAGGATATCCAGGAATTGAACTCAGCTCTGCACAAAAAGGACCTAATAGACATCTACAGAACTCTCCACCCCAAATCAACAGAATATACATTTTTTTCAGCACCACACCACACTTATTCCAAAATTGACCATATAGTTGGACGTAAAGCACTCCTCAGCAAATGTAAAAGAACAGAGATGATAACAAACTATCTCTCAGACCACAGCGCAATCAAACTAGAACTCAGGATTAAGAAACTCACTTGAAACTGCTCAACTACATGGAAATTGAACAACCTGCTCCTGAATGACTAATGGGTGCATAATGAAATAAAGGCAGAAATAAATATGTTCTTTGAAACCAACGAGAACAAAGACACAACATACCAGAATCTCTGGGACACATTTAAAGCAGTGTGAAGAGGGAAATTTATAGCACTAAATGACCACAAGAGAAAGCAGGAAAGATCTAAAATTGACACCTGGACATCACAATTAAAAGAGCTAGAGAAGCAAGAGCAAACACATTCGAAAGCTAGCAGAAGGCAAGAAATAACTAAGATCAGAGCAGAACTGAAGGAAATAGGACACAAAAAACCCTTCAAAAAATCAATTAATCCAGGAGCTGGTTTTTTGAAAAGAGCAACAAAATTGATAGACCACTAGCAAGAATAATGAAGAGAGAGGAATCAAATAGATGCAATAAAAAATGATAAGGGGGATATCACCACCAATCCCACATAAATATTAACTACCATTAGAGGATACTATAAACACCTCTATGCAAATAAACTAGAAGATCTAGAAGAAATGGATAAATTCCTCAACACATACACCCTCCCAATACTAAACCAGGAAGAAGTTGAATCTCTGAATAGACCAATAACAGGCTCTGAATTTGAGGCAATAATTAATAGCTTATGAACCAAAAAAAGTCCAGGACCTGATAGATTCACTGCCGAATTCTACCAGAGGTACAAGGAGGAGCTGGTACCAATCCTTCTGAAACTATTCCAATCAACAGAAAAAGAGGGAATCCTCCCTAACTCATTTTATAAGGCCAACATCATCCTGATACCAAAGCCTGGCAGAGACACAACAATAAAAGAGAATTTTAGACCAATATCCTTGATGAACATTGATGCAAAAATATTTAATAAAATACTGGCAAACGGAATCCAGCAACAGATCAATAAGCTTATCCACCATGATCAAGTGGGCTTCATCCCTGGGATGCAAGGCTGGTTCAACATACATAAATCAATAAATGTAATCCAGCATATAAACAGAAACAAAGACAAAAACAGTGATTATCTCAATAGATGCAGAAAAGGTCTTTGACAAAATTTAACAATCCTTCATGCTAAAAACTCTCAATAAATTAGGTATTGATGTGACATATCTAAAAATAATAAGAGTTCTCTATGACAAACCCACAGCAAATATCATATCGAATGGGCAAAAGCTGGAAGCATTCCCTTTGAAAACCGGCACAAGAGAGGGATGCCCTCTCTCACCACTCCTATTCAACATAGTGTTGGAGGTTCTAATCAGGGCAATCAGGCAGGAGAAGGAAATAAAGGGTATTCAGTTAGGAAGACAGGAAGTCAAATGGTCCCTGTTTGCAGATGACATGACTGTATATCTAGAAAACCCCATCGTCTCAGCCCAAAATCTCCTCAAGCTGACAAGCAACTTCAGCAAAGTCTCAGGATACAAAATCAATGTGCAAAAATCGCAAGCTTTCTTACACACCAATAACAGACAAACAGAGAGCCAAATCATGAGTGAACTCCCTTTCACAATTGCTTCAAAGAGAATAAAATACCTAGGAATCCAACTTACAAGGGATTGAAGGACCTCTTCAAGGAGAACTACAAACCGCTGTTCAACAAAATAAAAGAAGATACAAACAAATGGAAGAACATTCCATGCTCATGGGCAGGAAGAATCAATATCGTGAAAATGGCTATACTTCCCAAGGTAATTTATAGATTCAATGCCATCCCCATCAAGCTACCAATGACTTTCTTCACAGAATTGGAAAAAACTACTTTAAAGTTCATATGGAACCAAAAAAGAGCCCGCATTGCCAATTCAATGCTAAGCCAAAAGAACAAAGCTGGAGGCAACACGTTACCTGACTTCAAATTATACTACAAGGCTACAGTAACCAAAACAACATGGTACTGGCACCAAAACAGAGATATAGACCAATGGAACAGAACAGAGCCCTCAGAAATAATGCTTCATATCTACAACTATCTGATCTTTCACAAAACTGAGAAAAACAAACGATGGGGAAAGGTGTCCCTATTAAATAAATGGTGCTGGGAAAACTGGCTAGCCATATGTAGAAAGCTGAAGCTGGATCCCTTCCTTACACCTTATACAAAAAATAATTCAAGATGGATTAAAGACTTAAGTAAAACCATGTTTTTGATTGAGCAGTGTGGAAACACTGTTTTTGTATAATCTGTGAAGGGATATTTGGGAGCTCATTGAAGCCTAGGATAAAAAAGGAAAAATCTTCTGATGAAAATTAGACAGAAGCTTTCTGAGAAACTGGTTTTTCATGTGTGCCATCATCCAACAGCTGTAAACCTTTATTTTGGTTGAGAAGTTTGAAAACGCTGTTTTTGTGGAAACTGCGCAGAGATATTAGGAAGAACATTGAGGCCTATGCTAAAAATGTTAATATCTTCAGGTAAAAACTACAAAGAATGTTTCTGAGACACTGCTTCATGATGTGTAGATTCATCTCACAGAGTTAAACCTGTCTTTTGATTGAGCAGTTTTGAAACACTGTTTTTGTAGAATCGGCAAAGGGATGTTTCAGAGCACTTTGAGACCTAGGCTGAAAAAGGAAATACATTCAGATAAAAACTACAAAGAAGGTTTCAGAGAAACTGCTTTGTGATGTGAGTATTCAATTCACAGAGTTAAACCTTTCTTTTGATTGAGCAGCTTGTAAACACTGTTTTTGTAGAATCTGGGAAAAGATATTTGGCAGCACTTTGAGGCCTATGGTGAAAAGGAAATATCTTCAGATAACAACTAGATTGAGTCTTTCTGAGAAACTGCTCTGTGATGTGTACGTTTTTCTCAAAGATGTAAACCATACTTTTGATTGAGCAGTTTTGTAGAAACTGCGAAGGGATATTTGGGAGTGCATTCAGTCCTAGGCTGAAAAAGGAAATATCTGCAGATAAAAACTAGAAAGAAGCTTTCAGAGACACCTATGTTTGATGTGTGCATGCATCACACCCAGTTAAACCTTCCTTTTGATTGAGTATTTTGGGAACACTGTTTTTGTAGAATCTGGGAAGGCATATTTGGAAGGATTTGGGGCCTATGGTGAAAAAGAAAATACCTTCAGATAAAAAAACAGAAAGAACCATTCTGAGACACTGCTTTGTGATGTGTGCATTTATCTCACAGAGTTAAACCTTTCATTGGATTGAGCAGTTTGTAAACACTGTTTTTGTAGAATCTCTGAAGGGATATTTGGGAGCTCGTTGAGGACTATGATGAAAAAGGAAATATCTTCAAATAAATACATAGAAATTTTCTGAGATACTGATTTGAGATGTGTGCATACAACACACCGAGTTAAATCCCTCTTTTCATTGAACAGTTTTGACACACATTTTTTGTAGATTCTGCAAAGGGATATTTTGGAACACTTTGAGGTGTATGGTGAAAAAGGAGATATCTTCAGCTAAAAAATAGAAAGAAAGGTTCTGAGACACAGCTTTGTGCTGTGCGCATTCATCTCACAGATGTAAACCTTTCTTTCGATTGAGCAGTTTGGAAACACTGTTTTTGTAGAATCAGAGAAGGGATAATTGGGAGATCATTAAGTCCTATGGTGAAAAAGGAAATATCCAGATAAAAACAAAAAATATTTCTGAGAAACTGCTCTGTGATGTGTGCATTCATGTCACAGAGTCAAAACTTTCTTTTCATTGAGCATTTTGTAAACACTGTTTTTGTAGAATCTGTGAAGGGAGATTTGGGAATGTAATTAGGCCTATGGTGAAAAATAAAATACCCTCATATAAAAACTAGATAGAAGATTTCTGAGAAACTGCTTTGTGATGTGTGAATTCATCTCACAGAATTAAAGCTTTTTTTGATTCAGCACTTTGGAAAAACTGTTTTGTTAGAAATTGTGAAGGGATATTTCAGAGTGCTTTGAGGCCAACAGAAAAAAAGGAAATATCTTCAGATCAAAACTAGAAAGAATATTTCTGAGAAACTGCTTTGTGATGTGTCCATTGGTCTCATAGAATTAAACCTTTCTTTTTAAAGAGCAGCTTGAAAACACTGGTTTTGTAGAATCTGCAAAGGGATATTTGGGAGCATATTTAGACCTTTGATGAAAAAGGTAATATCATCAGGTAAAAACTAGAAAGAAGGCTTCTGAGACACGGCTTTGTTGTGTGTGCACTCATTTCAAGATGTAAACTTTCCTTTTGATTGAGCAGTTTGGAATCTGTTTTTATAGAATCTGCAAAGGGATATTTTGGAGCACATTGACACCTATGGTGAAAAATCTTCGGATAAATACTAGAAATAAGTGTTCTGAGAAACTGTTTTGTGATGTGTGCATTAGTCTCTCAGAGTCAAAACTTTCATTTGACTGAGCAGTTTGGAAACACTATCTTTGTAGTGTCTGTGAAGGGATAGTAGGAAGCACATTGAGGCCAAGGTGAAAAACGAAATATCTTCAGAGAAAAACTAGAGAGAGGGTTTCAGAGAAGCTACTTTGTGATGTCTGCATTCATCTCACAGCATTAAAACATTCTTTTGAATGAGCAGCTTGGAAACACTGTTTTTGTAGAATCTGCAAAGGGGAGTGATTTGAGGCCTATGTTGAAAAAAGAAATGTCTTCAGTTAAAAACAAGACAGAAGTTTTCTGAGAAACTGCTTTGGGAGGAGTGCATTCATCTCCTACAGTTAAACCTTTCTTTTGATGAAGCAGTTTGGAAAAACTGTCTTTGTACCATCTGCAAAGGGATATTTTGCAGTGCTTTGAGGCCTATGTGGAAAAAGGAAATAGCTTCAGACAAAAATTAGAAAGATTCTGAGACATGGCTTTGTGATGTGTGCATTCAGCTCACAATTATAAACCTTTCTTGTAATTGAGCAGTTTAGAATCTCTGTTTTTGTAGAATCTGCAAAGGTATATTTGGGAGGGCATCAAGGCCTACGGTGGAAAAGGAAATACATTCAGATAAAAACTAAAAAGAAGCATTAGGAGAAACTGCTTTGTGATGTTTGCATTCATTTCACAGCGATAAAACTTTCTTTTGGTTTAGCAGTTTTGAAATAGTGTTTTTGTAGATTCTATGAAGGGATATGAGAGCACACTGAGGCCTGTGCTGAGAAAGGAAATATCTTCAGATAAAAATTAGAAAGAAGCTTTCTGCAAACTTCTCTGTGATGTGTGTCTTCCCCTCACAGATGTAAAACTTTCTTTGATTTAGGAGTTTGGAAACAGTGTTTTTGTAGATCTGTGAAGAGATATTAGGGAACGCATTGAGGCCTATGGTGAAAATGTTAATGTGTTCAGGTAAAAACTAGAAAGAACGTTTCTAAGACAATGCTTTGTTAAGTGTGCATTTATATCACAGAGTCAAATCTTTCTTTTGATTGAGAAGTTTGGAAACACTCCTTTTGAAGAATCTGTGAAGGAATATTTGGGAGCAAATGGAGGCCTATGCTGAAAAAGGAAATATCTACAGATAAAAACTAGAAAAAAGATTTCTGAGAAACTGCTTTGTGATGTGAGCATTCATCTCACAGAATTAAAGCTTTTACTTGATTGAGCAGATTGGAAACATTGTTTTTGTAGTATCTGCAAAGGGATATTTTTGAGCCCTTCAATGCCTATGGTGTTTAAATCGCACAGAGTTAAACATTTCTTTTGATTGAACAGTTTGGAAACACTGTTTTTGTAGAATCTGTGAAGGGATATTTGAGAGCTCATTGAGGCCTATGGAGAAAAAGGAAATACCTTCAAATAAAAACTACAAAAGTTTTTCTGAGATACTGCTTAGTGATGTGTACATACATCTCACAGAGGTAAACCTCTCTTTTGATTGAGCAGTTTGGAAACACTGTTTTTGTAGAATCTGCAAAGGGATATTTGGGAGCGCATTGAGGCCCACTCTGAAAAGGGAAATATCATCAAGTAAAAACTACAAAGAAAGTTTCTGAGAAACTGCTTTGTGATGTGTGCATTTATCTCACAGAGTTAAACCTTTCTTTTGATTGAGCAGACTGCAAACACTGTTTTTGTAGAATCTGCGAAGGAATATTTGGGAGTGCACTGAGAATTATGGTGAAAAAGGAAATATCTTCTGATAAAAACTAGAAAGAAGCTTTCTGAGAAACTGCTTAGTCATGAGTGCATTCATCTCACAAAGTTAAACCTTTCTTTTGATTGATCAGTTTGGAAAGACTGTTTTTGAGGAATTTGTGAAGGGATATTTGGGAGGACATTGAGGCCTATGCTGTTAAAGGAAATATCTTCAGATAAAAACTAGAAAGAAGCTTTCTGAGAAACTGCTTTGTGATGTGTACATTCATCTCACAGAGTTAAAACTTTCTGTTGAATGAGCAGTTTGGAAATACTGTTTTTGTATAATATGGGAAGTGATGATTGGTAGTGCAAAAAGGCCTATGGTGAAACAGGAAATATCTTCAAAAAAAAAAACTGGAAAGCAGCTTTCTGAGGCACTGATTTGTGATGTGGACATTCATTTCACAGTGTTAAATCTTTCCTTTGATGGTGCCATTTGGAAACAGCCTTTCAGCAGGATCTGTGAAGGGTCATTTGGGAGTGAATTGAGGCCAATGGAGAAAAAGGAAATAACTCCAAGTAAAAACTAGAAAGTTGCATTCTGAGAAACTATTTTGACATGCGTGCATTCATCTCACAGAGTTAAACCTTTCTTTGGTGAACCAGTTTGGAAACACCGTTTTGGTAGAATCTGCGAAGAGGTATTTGGGAGTGCACAGAGGCCTGGGGGAAATAGGAAATAACTTTGGATAAAAACTACAAAGAAGCCTTTTGAGAAACCACTTTGTGATGTGTGCATTCTTCTCACAGATTTAAATGTTTCTTTTGATTGATCAGTTTGGAAATATTGTTTTTGGAGAATGTGTGAAAGGATATTTAGAAGCACATTTAGGCCTATGATGAAAAAGGAAATATATTCAGATATAAACTAGAAAGAAGTATTTTGAGAAACTTTTTTGTGATGTTTGCATTCATCTCACAGAGGTAAACCTATCTTTTGAATGATCAGTTTGGAAACAGTGTTTTTGTACAAACTGCGAATGGATATTTGGGAACTCACGAGGCCTATGGTGAAAAAGAAAATAACTTCTGATAAAAACTTAAAAGAAGCTTTCTGAGAAACCTCTTTTGGATGTGTGACTTCTTCTCACAGAGATAAATGTTTCTTTTCATTGAGCAGTTTGGAAACACTGGTTATGTATAATCCATAAAGGGATATTTTGTAGTGCACTGATTCCTATAGTGAAAAAGGAAATATCTTTGGATAAAAACTAGAAAGAAGCTTTTTGAGAAACAGCTTTCTGATGTATGCATTCATCTCACAGTGTTAAACTTTTGTTTTGATTGAGCAGTTTTGAAACACAGTATTTGTATTATCTGTGAAGCAATGTTAGGGAGCAGAAAAAGGCCTAAGGTGAACAAGGAAATATCTTCTGGAAAGTAGACTTATGAGAAACTGCTTTCTGAGGTGTGCATTCATCTCACTGAGTTAAATCTTTTTGATGGAACAGTTCGGAAATGCTGTTTTTATAAAAAAAATGCAAAGGGATATTTGGGAGCGCATAGAGGCCTGTGGTGGAAAAGGAAATATCTTCAGAGAAGAACTAGACAGAAGCTATCTGAGAAACTGCTTTGTGATGTGTGTATCCATCCCTCAAATTTAGACATTTCTTTTAATGAGCAGTTTGGAAACACTGTTTTTGTAGAATCTGCAGAGGTATATTTGGGATAGTACTGAGGCCTATGGTAAAAAAGGAAATATCTTCAGAAAAAAACAGAAATAAGCTTTTTGAGAAAGTACTTTGTGATGTCTGCATTGAACTCACAGAGGTAAAAGTCTTTTTCGATTGAGCAGTATGGAAACACTGTTTTTATATATTATGCAAAGCGAAATTATGTAGCTCAAAAAGCCTATGGTGAAAAAGAAATATCTTCACATAAAAACTGGAAAGAAAGTGACAAACTGCTTTCAGATGTGTTCATTCATCTCAGAGAGTTAAGTCCTTTTGATGGCACAGTTTGGAAACATTGTATATGTAGAATCTGCAAAGGGATATTTTTTATTCTATTGAGGCCTATGGTGTAATAGGAAATATTATCAGAGAAGAAATTTAAAGAAGTTTTCTGAGAAACTTCTTTGTGATATTTGCATTCATCTCACAGATTTAAAGCTTTCTTTCGATTGAGCAGTTTGGAAACACTGTTTTTCTAGAATCTCTGATGGGATATTTGTCAACACATTGAAGCCTATGGTGAAAAAGGAAATATCTTCAGATAAGAACAAATAACAACCTTTCTGAGAAACCTCTTTGTGAGGTGTGCATTCATCTCTGAGAGTTAAGGCTTTCTTTTGATTGAGCAGGTGGAAGCACTGTTGTGGTAGAATCTGCAAAGTGATATTTTGGAGTGGATTGAGACCTAAGGTGGAAAAGGAAATATCTTCTGATAAATACTATAAAGAAGCAATCTGAGAACCTGCTTTCTGATGTGTTCCCTCATTTCAGTGTGTTAAACCTTTCTTTTCACTGAGAAGTTTGGAAACACTGTTTTTGTAGAATCTACCAAAGGATATTTTTGAGGGCAGGGATACTTTTGGGTGCATTGAGGCCTGGGTTGAAAAAGGAAATATCTTGAGATTAAAAACTAGAGAGAAGCTTTCTGAGAAACTGCTTTGTGATGTGTGCATTCTTCTCACACAGTTAAACGTTTCATTTGAATGAGCAGTTTGTTAATGCTGTTTTTGTAGAATCTGCAAAGGTATATTTGGGAGCACACTGAGGCCTATGGTGAAAAAGGAAATATCTTCACATAAAATCAAGAAAGAAGCCTTCTGAGAAATGCTTTGTGATGTGTGCATTCAACTCAAAGAGTTTAACCTGTTTTTTGATTGAGAAGTTTGGAAACACTGTTTTTGTAGAATGTGCAAAGGGACATTTAGGAGTGAGTGGAAGCCTATGGTGATAAAGGAAATAACTTCAGATACAAAACGAAAGAAACTTTTTGAGGAACTGCTTTGTGATGGGTGCATTTGTCTCACAGTCATAAACCTTTCTTTTGACTGAGAAGTTTGGAAACAGTGTTTTTGTTATCTGCCAAGTGATGTTATTTAGTGCAAAAAGTCCTATGTTGAACAAGGAAATATCTTCAGATAAATACTGGAAAGAAGCATTATGAGAAACTGCTTTGTGAAGTTTGCATTCATGTCACTGGGTTAAATCCTTATTTGGATGGAACAGTTCAAACATACTTTTTTCAGAATCTGCAAAGGGTTATTTAGGAGCACGCTGAGGACTATGCTGAAAAAGGAAATATCTTCAGATAAATACTGGAAAGAAGTGTTATGAGAAACTGCTTTGTGAAGTTTGCATTCATGTCACTGGGTTAAATCCTTGTTTTGATGGAACAGTTCAAAAACACGTTTTTCAGAATCTGCAAAGGGTTATTTAGGAGCACATTGAAGACTATGCTGAAAAAGGAAATATCTTCAGAAAAAACTAGAAAGAAGTTTTGAGAAACTGCTTTGTGATGTGTGCATCCATCTCACAGAGTTAAACCTTTCTTTCAGTTGATCAGTTTGGAAACACTATTTTTGTGGAATGTGCAAATGGATATTTGGAAGCAGACGTGGCCTATGGTGAAAAAGGAAATAACTTCAGATAAAAACTAGAAAGAAGCTCTCAGAGAAACTGCTTTCAATGTGTGCATTCATCTCACAGATTTAAATGTTTCTTTTGATTGAGTAGTCTGGAAAAGCTATTTCTGTAGAATCTGCTGATGGATATTTGGGAGTGCACTGGTGACTATGGTGAAAAAGGAAATATCTTCAGATAAAGAGGAGCAAGAAAACGTTTGAGAAACTGCTTTGTGATGTATGCATTCATCTCATGGAGTTAAACTTTTCTTCTGACTGAGCAGTTTGAAAACACCATTTTGGTGTAATCTGCAAAGTGATATTATGTAGCATAAAGAGGCCTATGGTGAACAAGGGAGTATCTTCAGATAAAAACTGGAAAGAAGCATTAAGAGAAACTGTTTTAGGATGTGTGCATTCATGTCACAGAGTCAAATCCTTCTTTTGATGGAACATTTGTGAAGCACTGTTTTTGTAGAATCTGTGAAGGGATATTTGAGGGCGCATTGAGGACTATGGAGAAAAAGGAAATATCTTCAAATAAAATCTAGAAAGAAGTTTTTGAGAAACTGATTTGGGACGTGTGCATTCAACAAACAGAGTTAACCCTGTTTTTTGATTGTGTGGGTGGAAACACTATTTTTGTAGAATCTTCAAAGGGATAATTGGGAGCACATTGAAGCCTATGGTCAAAAAGGAAATAATATTGGATAAAAACGGGAAAGAAGCATTGTGAGAATCTGCTTTCTGATGTGTGCATTTATCTTACCAAGTTAAGTCCTTCTTTTGATGGAACAGTTTGGAAACACTGTTTTTGTAGAACCTGTGAAGGGATATTTGGGAGCGCATTGAGGCCTATGGTGGAAATGGAAATATCTTCAGAGAAGAACTAGACAGAAGCTTTCTGAGAAACTTTTTCTTATGTGAGGATTTATCTCACAGAGTTAAACCTTTCTTTTGATTCATCAGCTTGGAAACATTGTTTTTGTAGAATATGCAAAGGGATATTTTGGAGTGCATGAGGCCTCTGGTGAAAAGGGAAAGAACTTCAGGGAAAAACTAGAAAGAAACTTTCTGAGAAACCACTTTGTGATGTGTGCATCCCTCTCACAGAGTTAAAGGTTTCTTTTGATGGAGCAGTTTGGAAACACTATTTTTGTAGAATCTGCAAAGGGATATTTGGAAGCATACTGATGCCTATGGGGAAAAAGGAAAAATCTTCAGATAAAAACTAGAAAGAAGATTTTTCAGAAACTGCTTTATGATGTATGCATTCATCTCACAGAGTTAAACCTTTTTTTATGACAGAGCAGTTTGGAAACACTGTTTTTGTATAATCTGCAAAGCAATGTTATTTAGTGCATAACGGCCTATGGTGAACAAGGAAATATCTTCAGATGGAAACTAGAAAGAAGCTTTATGAGCAACTGGTTTCTGATGTGTGCATTCATTTCACTGATTAAATCTTTCTCTTTATGGAAGAGTTTGGAAACACTGTTTTTATAGAATCTGTGTAGTGATATTTCAGAGTGCTTTGAGGCCTATGGTGGTAAAAGAAACATCTTGAGAGAAGACTTTGACAGAAGCTATGTGAGAAACTACTTTCTGACGTGTGCATTCATCACCCAGAGTTAAAACTCTCTTTTGATTGAGGAGTTTGGAATCACTGTTTCTGTAGAGTCTGCAAAGCTATATTTGGGAGCACAGAGAGACCTATGGTGAAAAAAGCAATGTCTTCAGTTAAAAACTACAAATAAGTTTTTTGAGAAACTGCTTTGTGATGTGTGCATTCAACTCATAGAATTAAACCTGTTTTTTGATTGAGCACTTTGGAAACACTGTTTTTGTAAAATCTGCAAAGAAATATTTGGGAGTGCATTGAATCCTATTGTGAAAAAGGAAATAGCTTCAGATAAAAATTAGAAAGAGGCTTTTTGAGGAACTGCTTTGTAACGTGTGCATTGATCTCACAAAGTTAAACTTTCCTTTGACTGAGTGGTTTGGAAACAGTGTTTTTGCAAAATCTGCAACACGATAATATATAGTGCAAAGAAGCCTATGGTTAAGAAGAAAATATCTTCAGATAAAAACTGGAAAGAAGCCTTATGAGAAACTGCTTTCATCTCACAGAGTTAAGTCCTTCCTTAGATGGAACAGTTTAGAAATGCTGTTTTTATAGAATCCGCATAGGGATATTTGGGAGCACATTGAGGTCTATGGTGGAAAAGGAAATATTTTCAGAGAAGAACTAGACATAAGCTATCTGAGAAACTGCCTGGTGATTTGTGAATTCAACTCACAGAGTTAAACTTTCCTTTTGTTGGAACTGATTGGAAACACTGTTTTTGTAGAATCTGTGAAGGCATATTTGGGAACACAGAGAGGCCTATGGTGGAAAATGAAATATCTTCAGAGAAGAACTGGACAGACGCTTTCTGAGAAACTGCCTTGTGATGTGTGCATTCATCTGAGAGAGTCAAACATTTCTTTTGATGGGGCATTTTGGAAACACTGTTTTTGTACAATCTGTGAATGGATAATTGGGAGCACATAGAAGCCTATGGTTAAAAAGGAAACATTTTTGGATAAAAACTAGAAAAAAGCTTTTTGAGAAACTGCTTTGTGATGTGTGCATTCATCTCACAGAGTCAAACCTTCTTTTGATTTATCTGTTTGGAAAGTCTGTTTTTGTAGAATCTGAGAAGGTATATTTTGTAGTGCATGAGGCCTATGGTGAAAAAGGAAATAAGTTCAGATAAAAACTAGAAAGAAGCATTCTGAGGAACCTGTTTGTGATGTTTGCATTCTTCTCACAGAGGTAAACATTTATTTTGATTAAGCTGTTTGGAAACACTGTTTTTGTACAATATACAAAAAGATATTTGGGAGTGCATTGAAGCCTATGGTGAAAAAGGAAATATCTTCTAACAAAAACTAAAAATAATCTTTTTCAGAAGCTGCTTTGTGATGCATGCATTCATCTCACAGAGTTAAATCTGTCTTTTGACTGAGTTGTTTGGAAACACTGTTTTTCTATAATCTGCAAAGCGATGTTATGTAGTGCAAAAAGTCCTATGGTGAACCAGGAAATATCTTCAGATACAAACTGAAAAGAAGCATTATGAAAAACTGCTTTCTGATGTGTGAATTCATCTCTCAGAGTTCAATGCTTCCTTTCATGGAACAGTTCAGAAACACTGTTTTTATAGAAGCTGCAAAGGGATATTTGGGAGTGCATTGAGGCTTGTGGTGGAAAAGGAAATATCTTCAGGGAAGAACAAGACAGAAGTTACCTGAGAAAATGCTATGTGACGTGTACCCTCATCTCAGAGAGTTAAACCTTCCTTTTGATTGAGCAGTTTGGAAACACTGTTCTTGTCGAATCTGTGAGGGGATATTTGGGAGCACATGAGGCCTATGGTAAAATAGTAAATAACTTCAGATAAAAACAGGAAAGAAGCGTTATGAGAAACTGCTTTCTGATGTGTGCCTTCATCTCACAGATTTTAGTCCTTTTGATGGAATAGTTTGGAAACACTTTTTTTTTGTAGAATCTGTGAAAAGATATTTTGGAGCACATTGAGTTGTATGGTGGAAATGGAAATATCTTCAGAGAAGAAATAGAAACTTTCTGAGAAACTGCTTTGTGATGTGTGCATTCATGTAAAAGAGTTAAAATTTTCTTTTGATTGGTCAGTTAGGAAACACTGTTTTTGTAGAATCTGTGATTGGATACTTGGGAATGCACAAGGCCCATGGTGAAAAAGGATATAACTTCAGATGAAAACTAGAAAGGACATTTCTGAGAAAATGTTTTGTGATGTGTGCATTCTTCTCACAGATTTAAAAGTTTCATTTGATTGAACAGTTTGAAATTACTGTTTTTGTAGAATATGCAAAGGGATATTTTGTAGAGCACTGATGCCTGCTGTGAAAAACTAAATAACTTTGGATAAAAATTAGAAAGAAGCTTTTTGAGAAACTGCTTTTTGATGTGTACGGTCATCTCACAGAGTTAAACTTTTCTTTCACACAGCAGTTTGTAAACACTTTTTATAATCTGTGAAGGGATGTTAGGTAGTGCAAAAAGGCCTATGGTGAACAAGGAAATATCTTCAGATAAAAACTGGAAAGACATGTTACTAGAAACTGCTTAGGGATGTGTGCCTTCATCTCACAGAGTTAAATTCTTCTTTTTTTTGAGCAGTTTGGAAACACTGGTGTTGTAGATTCTGCAAAGCTATATTTGGGAGTGCACTGAGGCCTATGCTGAAAAAGGAAATATCTTCAGATAAAAACTGGAAAGACACGTTACTAGAAGCTGCTTAGGGATGTGTGCCTTCATCTCACGGAGTTAAATTCTTCTTTGAGCAGTTTGGAAACACTGGTTTTGTAGATTCTGCAAAGGTATATTTGGGAGTGCACCAAGGCCTATGTTGAAAAAGGAAATATCTTTGTATAAAATCCAGGAAAAAGCTTTTTGTGAAATTGCTTTGTGATGTGTGCATTCAACTCACAGAGTTAAGCCTGTTTTTTGGTTTAGCATTTTGGAAACACTGTTTTAGTAGAATCTGTAATGGGTATTTTGGAGTGCATTGAAGCCTGTAGTGATAAGCAAAATATCTTCAGATAAAAACTAGAAAAGAGATGTTTGAGAAACTGCTTTGTGATGTGTGCATTCACCTTACAGAGGTAAACCTTTCTTTTGACTGAGCAGATTGGAATCTCTGTTTTTGCAATATCTGAGAAGCGATAATAGATAGTGCGAAAAAGGCTATGGTGAAAAAGGAAATATCATCAGATAAAAATTGGAAAGAAGCATTGTGAGAAACTGATTTCTGACGTGTGCAATAATCTCACAGTGTTAAGTCCTTCTTTTCATGTAACAGTTTGGAATCACTGTTATTTAGAATGTGTGAAGGGATATTTGGGAGCTCATTGAGGCCTATGGGGGAAAATTAAATATCTTCAGAGAAGAATTAGATAGAAGCATTCTCAGAAACTGCTTTGTGATGTGTGCATTCATCTCACAGAGGTAAACCTGTTTTTTGATTCAGCAGTTTGGAAACACTGTTTTTGTAGAATATGCAATGGGATATTTGGAAGCACATTGAAGCCTATTGTGATAAAGGGAATACCTTTGCATAAAAACTACAAAGAAGCTTTTTGAGAGACTGCTTTCTGATGTGTGCATTCATTTCCCAGAGTTAAGCCTTTCTGTTGACTGAGAAGTTTTGGAAACGCTGTTTTTGTGAAATCTGCAATATTAGATAGCACAATAAATCCTATGGTGAAAAAGAAAATATCTTCAGATAAAAACTGGAGAAAAGCATTATGAGGAACTACTCTCTGATGTGTGCATTCATCTCACCGAGTTAATACCTTCTTTTGATGGAATAGTTTCAAAACACTGTCTTTGTAGAATCTCCAAAGGGATATTAGGGAGTGTATTGAGGCCTATGCTTTAAAAGGAAATATCCTGAGAAGAACTAGACAGAAACTTTCTGGGAAAGTGCTTTGTGATGGGTGCATTCATCTCACAGAGTTAAACCTTTCTTTTGATTGAGCAGTTTGGAAACACTGTTTTTGTAGAATCTGAGAAGGGACATTTAGGAGCGCATTGAATCCTGACATGGAAAAGGAAATATCTTCAGAGAATAACTAGACAGAAGCTTTCTGAGAAACTGCTTTGTGATATGTGCTTTCACCTAACAGAGTTAAACCTTTCTATTGATTGAGCAGTTTGGAAACACAGTGTTTTTAAAAACTGCAAAGGTATATTTAAGAGAGCACTGTTGCCTATTGTGAAAAAGGAAACATCTTTGGCTAAAAACAGAATGCAACTTTTTGAGAAACTACTTGGTGAAGTGTGCATTTAACTCACAGTGTTAAACCTCTTTTTTTAATTGAGCACTTTGTAAACACTGTTTTCATAGAATCTGCAAAGGGATATTTGGGAGTGCATTGAAGCCTATTGTGATAAAGAAAATATCTTCAGACACAAACTAGACAGAAGCTTTTTGAGAAACTGCCTTGTAATGTGTGCATTCATCTCACAAAATTAAACCTTTCTTATGAGTGAGTAGTTTGGAAACAATGTTTTTGCTAAATCTGCGAAGTGACATTTGGTTGCACAAAAAAGCCAATGGTGAAAAAGGAAATATCTTCACATAAAAACTGGACAGAAGCATTATGAGAAATGGCTCTCAAATATATGCGTTCATCTCACAGAGTTAAATCATTCTTTTGATAAAATAGTTTGGAAACACTGTTTTTGTAGAAACTGCAAAGGGATATTTGGGCGTGCATTGAATCCTGTGGTGGAAAAGGAAATATCTTCAGAGAAAAACTAGAAAGAAGCTTTCTGAGAAACTGCTTTGGGATAAGTATATTCATCTCACAGAGTTACATCTTTTTTGTGTTTGAGGAGTTTGGAAACACTGTTTTTGTAGAGTCTGTGAAGGGATATTTGGGAGCTCATTGAAGCCTATGGTGAAAAAGGAAATAACTTCGGATAAAAACAGCAAAGAAGTGTTATGAGAAACTGCTTTCTGATATGGGCATTCATCTCACTGAGTTAAGTCCTTCTTTTGATGGAACAGTTTGGAAACACAGTTTTTGTAGAATCTGCAATGGGATATTTGGGCACGCACTGAGGTCTATCTTGGAAATGGAAATATCTTCAGAGAAGAACTAGACAGAAGCTTCCTGAGAAACAGCTTTGTGATGCGTACATTCGTGTGACAGAGTTAAAGCTTTCTTTTGATTGATCAGTTTGGAAATACGGTTTTTGAAGGACCTGCAAGGGATATTTTGGAGCACACGAGGTCTCTTGTGAAAAGGGAAATAACTTCAGATAAAAACCACAAAGAAGCTTTCTGAGAAACCATTTTGTTATGTGTGCATTCCTCTCACAGAGTTAAACGTTTCTTTTGATTGAACGGTTTGGAAACAGTTTGGAAGCAGTTTTTGTAGTGTTTTTTTGAAGCACTGTTTTTGATGGAACAGTTTGGAAACACTATTTTTGTAGAATCTGCAAAGGGATATTAGCAAGCACACTAAGCCTATGGGGAAAAAGGAAACATCTTCAGATAAAAACTAGAAAGAAACTTTTTCAGATACTGCTTTGTGATGTGTGCATTCATCTCACAGAGTTAAATTTTTCTTCTGACTGAGCAGTTTGGAAACACTGTTTTTGTATAATCTGCAAAGCGATGTTCTGTAGTGCAAAAAGGCCTATGATGAACAAGGAAATATCTTCAGATAAAAACTGGAATGAAACATTATGAGAAACTGCTTTCTGATGTGTACATTCATCTCATTGAGTTAAATCCTTGTTTAGATGAAACAGTTTGGAAACACTGTTTTTATAGAATTTGTATAGGGATATTTCTGAGGGCATTGAAGTTTATGGTGGAAAAGGAAATATCTTCAGAGAAAAACTTGACAGAAGCTATATGAGAAACTGCTTTGTGATGCATGCATTCATCACCCAGAGTTAAAACTTTCTTTTGATTGAAGCGTTTGGAATCACTGTTTCTGTAGAATCTGCAAAGGTATATTTGGGAGCACACAGAGACCGATGGTTTAAAAGGAAATATGTTCAGTTAAAAACTAGAGAGAAGGTTTTTGAGAAACTGCTTCCTGATGTGTGCGTTCATCTCACAGAGTTGAGTCCTTCTTTTGATTGAGAAGTTGGAAACCCTGATTTTGTAGAATCTGCAGATGTGTATTTGGGAGCTCACTGAGGCCTATGAAGAAAAAGAAAATATCTTCAGATAAAAACTAGAAAGAAACATTTGTGAAACTGTTTTGTGATATGTGCATTCAACTGACAGTGTTAAACCTGTTTTTGATTGAGCAGTTTAGAAACAGTACTTTTGTAGAATCTCTGATGGGATATTTGGGAGCCCATTGAAGCCTGTGGTGAAAAAGGAAATATCTTTGGATAAAAACTAGAAAGAAGATATTGAGGAATTGCTTTGTGATGTGTGCATTCATTTCACAGAGTTAAACCTTTGATTTGAATGAGCAGTTTGGAAACACTGTTTCTGTGAAATATACAAAGCAATACTAGGTTGCACAAAAAAGCCTATTGTGAACAAGGAAATATCTTCAGATAAATACTGGAAGGAAGCTTTATGAGAAGCTGCTTTCTGATGTATGCGTTCATCTCATTGAGTGAAGTCCTTCTTTTGATGGAGCTGTTTCAAAACACTGTTTTTGTATAATCTGAGAAGGGATATTAGGGAGCATATTGAGGCCAGGAAACATCTTCATAGAAGAACAAGGTGAAACCTTTATGAGAAACTGCGTTGTGATGTTTGCATTCATCTCAAAGAATTAACCCTTTCTATTGATTGAGCAGTTTGGAAACACTCTTGTTGTAAAATCTGCAAAGCGATGTTAGGTAGCACAAAAGAGGCCTATGGTGAACAAGGAAATGTCTTCATATAAAAACTGGAAAAACCTTTATGAGAAACTGCTTTCTGATGTGTGCATTTATCTCACAGCATTAAATCCTTCTTTTGATGGAACAGTTCAGAAACAATGATTTTACACATTCTGCGGAGGGATATTTGGGATCACCTTCAGGCCTAATGTGACAAAGGAAATATCTTCAGAGGGGAACGAGACAGAAGCTATCTGAGAAAGTGTCTTGTGATGTGTGCATTCATATCACAGAGCTAAACCTTTCTTTTGGTTGATCAGTTAGGAAATACTGTTATTTTAGAATCTGTGAGGGATAATTTGTAGGGCATGAGTCCTATGGTGAAAAAGGAAATAACTTCAGATAAAAATAGAAAGAATCTTTCTGATAAACAACTTTGTGATGTGTGCATTCTTCTCACAGAGTTAAACGTTTCTTTTGATTGAGCAGTTTGGAAACACTGTTTTTGTACAATCTGCAAAGGGATATTTGTGAGTACACTGATGCCTATGGTGAAAAAGGAAATATCTTCCGATAAAAACTAGAAAATAGCTTTTAGATAAACAGCTTTGTGATGTGTGCATTCATCTCAGTGAGTTAAACTTTTCTGTTGACTGAGCAGTTTGGAAACACTGTTTTTGTATATTCTGCAAAGTGATGTTAGGTAGTACAAAAAGCCTATGGTGGAAAACAAATATCTTCAGATAAAAACTGGAAAGAAGTGTTACGAGAAACTTCTTTCTGATGTTTGCATTCATCTAGACGTAAATCCTTCTTTTGATTTAACAGCTCAGAAACACTTTTTTTACTGAATCTGGGAAGGGATATTTGGGAGCACATTGAGGCCTACAGTGAAAAGGAAGTATCTCCAGAGAAGAACTAGTCAGAAGCTATCTGAGAAAATGCTTTGGGATGTGTGCACTCATCGCACAGAGTTAAACCTTTCTTTTGATTCAGCAATTTGGAAACACTGTTTTTGTAGAATCTGCATAGGTATACTTGGGAGTGCAATGAGGCCTATGGTGAAAAAGGAAATATATTCAGATAAAAAAAGAAATAAGTTTTTTGAGAAACTGCTGTGTGATGTGTGAGTACAACTCACAGAGTTAAACCTGTTTTTTGATAGAGCAGTTTGGAAAAACTATTTTTGTATAGTCTGCGAAGCAATGTTAGGTAGCACAAAAAGGAGTATGGTGAACAAGGAAATATCTTCAGATGAAAAGAGAAAAGAAGCATTCTGAGAAACTGCTTTCTCATGAGTGCATTAATCTCACAGATTTAATTCCTTCTTTTGATGGAACAGTTCAGAAACACTGTTGTTATGGAATCTGCGAAGGGATGTTTGGGAGCCCATTGAGGCCTATTGTGGAAAAGGAAATATCTTCAGAGAAGAACTAGATAGAAGCTATTTGGGAAACTGCTTTGATGTGTGCACCCATTTCACAGAGTTAAATTTTTCCATTGATTGAGCAGTTTGGAAACACTGTTTTTGTAGAGTCTGCAAAAGTATATTTTACAGCGCACTGAGTCCTATGGTGAAAAAGGAAATATCTTCTTGTAGAAACAAGAAAAACGCTTTTTGAGACATTGCTTTGTGAGGTGTGCATCCAGCTCACAGAGTTAAACCTATGCTTTGATTGAGGAGTTTGGAAACACTTTTTGTAGAATTGGTGATGGGATATTTGGGAATGTGTTTAAGCTATGGTGATAAAGGAAATAACTTCAGATAAAAACTAGAAAGAAGCTTTTTCAGAAACTGCTTTGTGATGTGTGCATTCATCTCACAGAGTTAAACATTGCTTTTGATTGAGCAGTTTGGAAATACTTTTTTTTTACAGGATCTGTGAAGGATACTGTGGAGCCCATTGAGGCCTATTGTGAAAAGGGAAATATCTTTGGATAAAAAGTTAAAAGAAACTTTTTGAAAAAGTGCTTTGTAATGTATGAACTCATCTCACAGAGCTAAACTTTTCTTTTCACTGAACACTTTGGAAAAAACTGTTTTTGTGTAATCTGTGAAGCAATGCTACGTAGCGCAAAAATGCCTAGGGTGAACAAGGAAATGTCTTCAGATAAAACTGGAAAGAAGCGTTATGAGAAACTGTTTTCTAATTTGTGCATTCATCCCACAGATTTAAGTCCTTCTTTTGATGGAACAGTTCAGAAGCACTGTTTTTATAGAATCTGCAAAGGGATAATTGGGAGCACATTGAGGCCTATGGTGGAAAAGGAAATACCTTCACAGAAGAACTAGACAGAAGCTATTTGATAAACTGCCTTGTGATGAGTGCATTCATGTCAAAGAGGTAAACCATTCTTTTGATTGATCAGTTTGGAAACACTGTGTTTGTAGAATCTGCAAAGGGATATTCTGGAGGGCAGTGAGGCCTATGTTGAAAAAGATAATATCTTTGGATTAAAACTTGAAAGAAGCTTTTTGAGTAACTGCTTTGTGATGTGTGCATTCAACAAACAGATAAACCTGGTTTTTGTTTGAGTAATTTGGAAACACTGTTTTTGTATATCCTGTGATGGGATATTTGGGAGTGCATTAAAGCCTATGGTGATTAAGAAAATAACTTCAGATAAAAACTAGAAAGAAGCTTTTTGAGAAAATGCTTTGTGATGTGTGCATTCACCTCACAGAATGAAATCTTTCTTTTGACTGAGTAGCTTGGAAGCCCTGTTTTTGCAAAACGTGTGAAGCGATATTATGTAGTGCAGAAAAGCCTATGATGGAAAAGGAACTATCTTCAGATAAAAACTGGAAAGAAGCATTATGAGAAACTGCTTTCTGATGTGTACATTCATCTCACAGAGTTAAGTTCTTCTTTTGATGGAAAAATTTGGAAACACTGTTTTTGAAGACTCTGCACAGGGATATTTGCAAGCACATTGAGGCCTATGGTGTAAAAGGAAATATCATCAGAGAAGAACTAGACAGAATCTTTCTGAGAAACTGCTTTGTGATGTGTGCGTTCATCTCACAGAGTTAAATCTTTCTTTTGACTGAGCAGTTTGGAAACACTGTTTTTGGAAAATCTGTGAAGTGATTTTTGCTAGTGCAAAACAGCCTGTGGTGAACAAGGAAATATCTTCAGATAAAAACCAGAAAGAATGTATTGAGAAACTGCTTTCTGATGTGTGCATTCATCTCACATAGTTAAATGCTTCTTTTCAAGGAACTGTTCACGAACACCTTTTATAGAAACTGCAAAGGGATATTTGGGAGCACATTGAGGCCTAGGGTGGAAAAAGAAATATCTTCAGAGAAGAACTACTCAGAAGCTATCTGAGAATCTGCTCTGGGAGGTGTGCATTCATCTCATAGAGTTAAAACTTTCATTTCATTCAGAAGTTTGGAAACACTGTTTTTGTAGAATCTGCAAATGTATATTTGGGAGTGCACTGAGGCATATGGTGAAAAAGGAAATATATTCCATGAAAAACTAGAAAGGAGGTTTTTGAGAAAATTCTTTGTGACGAGTGCATTCAACTCACAGAGTTAAATTTCTTTTTTGATTGAGCAATTTGCAAACTATTTTTGTAGAATCTGTGATGAGATACTTTGGAGCCCATTGAAACCTACGTTGTTAAAGAAAATATCATTCTATACAAAACGGAAAGAAGCGTTTTGAGAAACTGCTTTGTGATGTGTGCATTCATCTCACAGAGTTAAACCTTTCTTTTTATGTGGCAGCTTGTAAACACTGTTTTTGCAACATCTGTGAAGCAATATTAGGTAACACAAGAAAGCCTATGGTGAACAAAGAAATATCTTCAGATAAAAAAATGGAAAGAAGCATTATGAGAAACTGATTTCTGATGTGTACATTCATCTCACACACTTAAATCCTTCTGTTGATGGAACAGTTCAGAAAAACTGTTTTTATAGAAACTGTGAAGGGATATTTCAAAGTGTATTTAAGCATACGATGGAAAAGGAAATATATTAAGAGAAAGAACTAGACAGAAGCATTCTGAGATACTGCTTTGTTTTGTGTGCATTCATCTCAGAGAGTTAAACCTTTCTTTTGATCGAGCAGTTTGGAAACACCATTTTTGTAGGTTCTGCAAGGGATAATTGCGATCTCATTTAAGCCTATGCTGAAAAAGGAAATATCTTCGGATTAAAAACTAGAAAGAATATTTTTGAGAAACTGCTTTGTGATGTGTGCATTCATCTCAAGGAGTTAAGCCTCTCTTTTGATTGATCAGTTTGAAAACACTGTTTATGTAGAATGTACCAAGGGATATTTGGGAGCCCCTGAGGCCTATGGGAAAGAAGGAAATAACTTCAGATAAAAACTAGAAAGAAGCTTTCTGAGAAACCGCTTTATGATAAGTGCATTCTTCTCACATAGTTCAACGTTTCTTCTGATTGAGCAGTTTGGAAGCACTGTTTTTTTAGAATCTGCAAAGGGATATTTGGGCTCACATTGAAACCTATGGTGATATAGGAAATATTTTCAGAGAAAAACTAGAAAGAAGCTTTTTGATAATCTGGTTTGTGATGTGTGCATTCATCTCACAGAGTTAAACTGAGGAGTTTGGAAACATTGTTTTTCCAAAATCTGTGAAGTGATATTTTTAGTGAAAAAGCCTATAGTGAATAAGGAAATGTCTTCAGATAAAAACTAGAAAGAAGCATTACGAGAAACTGCTTTCTGATGTCTGCATTCTCCTAACCGAGTTAAGTCTTTCTTTTGATCGAAAAGTTTGTAAACACTGTGTTTGTCAAATCTGCGAAGGGGTATTTTGGAGCTCAATGAAGCCTATGGTTAAAAAGGAATTATCTTCAGAAAAATACTCAAAAGAAACATTTTGAGAAACTGGGTTTTGATGTGTGCATTCATCTCACAGAGTTAAACCTTTCCTTCGATGGATCACTTTGGAAACACTGTTTTTGTAGAATCTGGGAAGGGATATTTAGGAGCACTTGAGGCCTATGGGGAAAAGGAAATTACTTCAGATAAAAAAGAGAAAGAGGAATTCTGAGAAGCCACTTTGTGATGTGTGAATTCTTCTCACAGTTTTTAACGTTTCTTTTGATTGAGTGGTTTGGAGACAGTGTTTCTGGTGGCATCTTCAAAGGGATATTTGGGAGTGCACTGATGCCTATGGTGTTAAAGGAAATATCTTCAGATAAAAACTAGAAAGTGGTTTTTGAGAAACAGCTCTGTGATGCATGCATTCATCTTACAGAGTTTAATCTTTCTTTTGATAGAGTAGTTTGGAAAACTCTTTTTGCAAAAACAATGAAGCGAAATTTGGTAGCACAAAATAACATACGGTGAAAATGAAATATCTTCAAATAAAAACCGGAAAGAAGCGTTATGAGAAACTGATTTCTGATGTGTGACTCATCTCACAGAATTAAATCCTTCTTTTGATGGAACAGTTCAGAAACAATGTTTTTTTAGGAGCACATTGAGTCCTATGGTCAAAATGTAATATCTTCAGAAACGAACTAGACAGAAGGTTTCTGAGAAATTGCTTTGTGAGGTGTGCATTCATCTCACAGAGTTTTTCCATTCTTTTCATTGAGCAGTATGGAAACAGTCTTTTTGTAGTATCTACAAAGACATATTTGGGAGAAATTTGATATCTATGGTGAAAAAGGAAATATATTCACATAAAAACTAGAAAGAAGCTTTCTGAGAAATGGCTTTCTGATGTATGCATTCATCTAACAGAAGTAAACGTTTCTTTCCATTGAGCAACTTAGAAATTCTGTGCTTCATGAATCTGTAAAGGGATATTTGTGAGTGCTTTGGGGCCAATGATGAAAAAGGAAATATCTTCACAGAAAACCTAGACAGAAGCATTCTGAGAAACTTCTTTGTGATGTGTGCATTCATCTCACAGAGTTGAACCATTCTTTTGTTTGAGAAGATTTGAAACACTCTATTTGAAGAATCTGCAAGTGGATATTTGGAGTGCTTTGAGGCCTATGCCGGAAAAGGGAATATCTTCACATAAAAACTAGACAGAAGCATTCTGAGAAACTACTTTTTGATGTGTTCTTTTCTCTCACCGAGTTGAACCATTCTTTTGGTGGAGGAGTTTGGAAACAGTCTTTTTGTAGTATCTGGAAAGGGGTATTAGGTATACGTTGAGGTCTATGGTGAAAAAGGAAATATCTTCACATAAAAAGAAGACAGAAGCTATCTGAGAAACTGCTTAGTGATGTGTGCATTCATCTAACAGAGTTGAAACTTTCTTTTCATTGAGCACTTTGGAACCAGTCTTTTTGTAGAGTCTGCAAAGGGATATTTGTGAGCCCTTTGAGGCCTATGGAGAAAAAGGAAATATCTTCACATGAAAACTAGAAAGAAGCTTTCTGAGAAACTGCTTTGTGATGTGGTCGTTCCTCTCACAGAACTAAACATTTCCTTTCATTGAGGAGTTTGGAAATTCTGTTCTTGGAGAAACTGCAAAGGGATATTTGTGAGAGCTTTGAGGACTATGGTGAAAAAGGAAATATCTTCACATAAAAAATAGGCAGAAGCTTTCTGAGAAACTACTTTGTGATGTGTGCATTCATCTCACAGAGCTGACCCATTCTTTTGATTGAGCAGTTTGGAAAAATCTTTTTGTAGAATCTGCAAAATGATATTTGGGAGTGCATTAAGGCCTATGTTGAAAAAGGAAATATCTTCACATAAAAAATAGAAAGAGGCCAGGTGCAGTGACTCACGCTTGTAATCCCAGCACTTTGGGAGGCCGAGATGGGTGGATCACAAGGTCAGGAGATCGAGACCATCCTGGCTAACATGGTGAAACCCCGTCTCTACTAAAAATATAAAAAAATTAGCCAGGCATGATGGTGGGTGCCTGTAGTCCCAGCTACTCGGGAGGCTGAGGCAGGAGAATGACATGAACCTGGGAGGCAGAGCTTGCAGTGAGCCAAGATTGCAACACTGCACTCCTGCCTGGGCCACAGATTGAGACTCTGTCTCAAAAAAAAATAGAAAGAAATTATCTGAGAAACTGCTTAGTGATGCGTGCATTAATCTCACAGAGGTAAACAATTCTTTTCATTGAGCAGTTTGGAAACTCTGTTATTCTAGAATCTGCAGAGGGATAATTCTGAGTGCTTTTATTTTTGTGGTGAAAAAAGAAATATCAACAATAAAAACTAGACAGAAGCTTTCTGAGAAACTTCTTTGTGAGGTGTACATTCATATCAAACAGTTGAAACATTCCTTTGATTGAGTAGTGTGTAAAGAGTATTTTTTAGAATTGGCAAAGAGATATTTGGAATTGTGTCGAGGCTTATGGTGAAAAAGGAAATTTCTTCACATGAAAACTAGAAGGAAGATTTCTGAGACACTACTTTGTGATGTATGCATTCATCTCACACAAGTAAACGTTTGTTTTCATTGAGCAGTTTGGAAACTCTGTTCTTCTAGAATCTGCAAGCAATATTTTGAAAGCCATGAGGCCTATGTTGAAAAACGAAATATCTTCACATAAAAACACGACAGAAGCTTTCTGAGAAACTTTTTAGTGATGTGTACATTCATCTCACAGAGTTAAACCACTCTTTTGATTGTGCAGTTTGGAAACAGTCTTATGGTAGAATCTGCAAAGGGATATTTGTGAGCCCTTTGAGGCCTATGGTGAAAAAGGAAATATCTTCACATAAAAACTACAAAGAAGATTTCTGATAAACTGCTTTGTGATGTGTGCATTCATGTCACAGAGGGAAACTTTTCTTTTCATTAAGCAGTTTGGAAACCCTGTCTTCTAGAATCTGCAAAGGGATATTTGTGAGCTCTTTGATGTCTATGGTGAAAAAGGAAATATCTTCACATAAATACTAGAAAGGTTTCTGAGAAATTGCACTGTTATGTGTGCACTCATCTCACAGAGGTAAACGTTTCTTTAAGCAGTTTGGACACCTTGTTCGTGTAGAATCTGCAAAGGGATATTTGTGAGCATTTTGATGCCTATGGTGAAAAAGGAAATATAGTCACATAAAAAATACACAGAAGCCTTCTGAGAAACTTCTTTGTAATGTGTGCATTTATCTCACAGAGTTGAACCTTTCTTTGGATTATGTAGTTTGGAAACAGTCTTATTGTAGAAACTTCAAAGGGATATTTGTGAGCCCTTGGAGGCCTACAGTGTAAAAGGAAATATCTTCACATGAAAACTAGAAGGATGGTTTCTGAGAAACTGCTTAGTGATAGGTGCACTCATCTCATAGAGGTAAACGTTTCTTTTAATTGACCAGTTTGGAATCTCTGTTCTTGTAGAATCTGCAAAGGAATATTTGTGAGCGCTTTGAGTCCTATGGTGAAAAAGGAAATATCTTCACATAAAAACTAGACAGACACTTTCTGAGAAAGTTCCTTGTAGTGTGTGCCTTTCTCTAACAGAGTTGAACCATTCTTTTGATTGAGCAGTTTGGAACACTCTTTTGGAGAATTTGCAAAGGGATTTTGTGAGTGCTGTGAGGCCAATCGTAAAAAGGAAATATCTTCCCATAAAAACTAGACAGAAGTTTTCTGAGAAACAGCTTTGTGAAATGCGCTTTCATCTCACAGAGGTAAAAGTTTCTGTTCATTGAGCAGATTGGAATATGTGTTCTTGTAGAATCTCCAAATGGATTTTTTGAGTGCTTTGAGTTCTATGGTAAAAAAGGAATTATCTTCACATAAAAACTACACAGAAGATTTCTGAGAAACCTCTATGTGATGTGTGCAGTCATATCACAGAGTTGAAACTTTCTTTTGATTGAGCAGTTTTGAAAATGTCTTTTTGCAGAATCTGTAAAGTGATAGTTGTGAGCCCTTTGAGGCCCATAGTGAAAAAGGAAATATCTTCACATAAAAACTAGACAGAAGCTTCACAAGAAAGTTCTTTGTGATGTGTCCATTCATCTCACAGATTTGAACTTTTCTTTTGATTAAGCAGTTTGGAAACAGACTTTTTCTAGAATGTGCAAAGGGATATTTGTGTGCGGTTTGAGGCCTATGCTGAAAAAGGAAATATCTTCACATTAAAAACTAGACAGAATGTTTCTGAGAAACTGCTTTTTGATGTGTCTATTCATCTCACAGTGGTAAACGTTTCTTTTAGTTAAGCAGATTGGAAACACTCTTCTTCTAAAATCTGCAAAGGGATATTTGTGAGTGCTTTGTGGCCTATGGTATAAAAGGAAATATCTTCACATAAAAACTAGACAGAAACTTTCTGAGGAACTTCTTTGTGATGTCTGCATTCCTCTCAAAGACTTGAATCTTTCTTTTCATTGAGCAGCTTGGAAACAGTCTTTGGTAGAATCTGCAAAGGGATATTTTTGAGACCTTTGAGGCCTATGGTGAAAAAGGAAATATCTTCACATAAAAACTAGACAGAAGTTTTCTGAGAAAGTGATTTGCCCTTTGAGCATTCATCTCACAGAGGAAATCATTTCCTTTCTTTAAGGAGATTAGAAAATCTTTTCTTGTAGAATCTGTAAGGGGATATTTGTGAGCCGTTTCAGGCCTATGGTGATAAAGGAAATGTCTTCATGTAAAAACTAGACAGAAGGTTTCTGAGAAACTGTGTTGTGATGTGCGTATTAATCTCACAGGTATAAAAGTTTCTTTTCATTGAGCAGATTGGAAATTCTGTTCTTGTAGAATCTGCTGAGACCAATGGTGAGAAACGAAATAACTTCACATAAAACTAGATAGAATCTGAGAAACTTCTTTGTGATGAGTGCTTTCATCTAATAGAGTTGAAACTTTCTTTTGATTGAGCAGTTTGGAAACAGTGTTTTTGTAGAATCTACAAAGGGATGTTTGTGAGCACTTTGAGGCCAATGGTGAAAAAGGAAATATCTTCATGCAAACACTAGACAGAAGCTTTCTGAGAAAACTCCTTTTGATGTGTGCATTCATCTCACAGAGTGGAAACTTTCCTTTGATTGAGCAGTTTGGAAACAGTCTTTTTGTAGAATGTGCAATTGATATTTATGAGTGCTTTAAGACCTATGTTGAAAAAAGGAAATATCTTCACATAAAACTTAGACAGAAGCTTTCTGAGAAGCGTCGTTGTGATGTGGGCTTTCATCTCACCGAGTTGAAGCTTTCTTTTGATTGATCAGTTTGGAAACAATCTTTTTGTAGAATTTACAGAGGGATATTTATTAGGGATTTGAGGTCTATGGTGAAAAAGAAAATATCTTCACATGGAAACTAGACAGACTGTTTCTGAGAAACTGCTTTGTGATGTATTCATTCATCTCACATACATAAGCATTTTTTCTTATTGACCAGATTGGAAACTCTGTTCTTGTAGGATCTGCAAAGGGATATTTGTAAGCACTTTTAAGCCTATGGTGAAAAAGGAAATATCTACACATAAAAACTAGTCAGAAGACTTCTGAGAAACTTCTTTGTGATGAGCGCATTCATCTCACAGAGTTGAACCTTTCTTTTGATTGAGGAGATTGGATACAGTCTTTTTGTAGATTCTTCAAAGGGATATTTGTGAGCGGTTTCATGCCAATGGTGAAAAACGAAATATATTCACATAAAAACTAGAGAAAAGGTTTCTCATGAACTACTTTGTGATGGAGGCATGCATCTCAAAGATTTGAACTTTTCTTTTGATTGAGCAGGGTGGAAACAGTCTTTCTTCAGAATCTGCAATGGGATATTTCTGGGCCCTTTGAGGCCTATGGTGAAAAAGGAAATATATTCACATAAAAACTAGAGAGAAGCTTTCTGAGAAACTTTTTATGTTGTGTCCATTCATCTCACAGAGCTGAACCTTTCTTTTGATTGAGGAGTTTGGAAAAAGTCTTTTAGTAGAATCTTCAAAGGGATATTTGTGAGCAGTTTGAAGCCAAATATGAAAAAGGAAACATTTAACATAAATACTAGACAGAAGCTTTCTGACAAACTCCTCTGTGATGTGTGTATTCATCTCACAGATTTGAAGCTTTCTTTTGATATTGCAGTTTTGAAACACTCTTTTTGTAGAATCTGCAAAGGGATATTTGTGAATGCTTTCTGGTCTGTGGTGAAAAAGTATATATCTTCACATAAAAACTAGACCGAAGCATTCTGAGAAACTTCTTTGTGATGTGTGCATTCATCTCACAGAGTTGAACTTCTCTTTTGATTGAGTAGTTGGGAAGCAGTCTTTTTGTAGAATCTGTAAAGGGATATTTGTGAGTGATTGGAGGCCCATGGTTAAAAAGGAAATATCTTCTCCAAAAAACTAGACAGAAGCTTTCTGAGAAACTTCTTTGTGATGTTTGCATTCATCTCACAGAGTTCAAACTTTCTTTTGACTGAGCTGTGTGGAAACAGTCTTTCTTAGGAATCTGCAATGGGATATTTGTGAACTCTTTGAGGCCTATGGTGAAAAAGGAAATATCTTCACATAAAAACTAGACAGAAGCTTTCTGAGAAACAGCATCATGACGTGTACATTCATCTCACATAGTAGAATCTTTTTTTGGTTGAGCAGTTTGGAACCAGTCTTTTCATAGATTCTGCAAAGGCATATTTGTGAGCCCTTGTGGCCTATGGTGAAAAAGGAAATATCTTCATATAAAAACTAGGGAAAAACTTTCTGAGAAACAGCAATGTAATGTGTACATTCATCTCACAGAATTGAAACTTTGTTTTCATTGAGTAGTGTGGAAACAGTCTTTCTTTAGAATCTGCAAATGGGATATTTGTGAGCCTTTTGAAACCTATGGTGAAAAAGGAAATGACTTCACATAAAAATTAGACAGAAGCTTTCTGAGAAACTTCTTTTTGAAGTGTGCATTCATCTCACAGAGGTGAAACTTTCTTTTGATTGAGCAGTTTGGAACCAGTCTTTTTGTGGATCTGTGATGGGACATTTTTGAGTGCTTTTAGAAATATGGTGATAAAGGAAATACCTTCACATAAAAACTAGACAGAAGCTTTCTGAGAACCTTCTTTGTCTCATGTGCATTCATCTGACAAAGTTGAGCCTTTATTTTGATTGAGGAGACTGGAACCAATGTTTTTGTAGAGTATGCAAAGGGATATTTTTGAACCCTTTGAGGCCTATGGTGAAAAAGGAAACATCTTCATATAAAAACTAGACAGAATGTTTCTGGGAAACTGCTTTGTGATGTGTGGATTCATCTCACAGATGTAAACATTTCTTTTCATTGAGAGGATGGAAACTCTTTTCTTGTAGAATCTGCCAAGGGATACTTTTGAGCTCTTTGAGGCCTACCATGAAAAAGGAAATTTCTTCACATAAAAACTGGACAGAAACTTTCTGAGAAACTTCTTTGAGTTGTGTCCATTCATCTCACAGAGCTGAACTTTTCTTTTGACTGAGCAAGTTGGAAACAGTCTTTTTTTATAATCTGCAAAGAGATATTTGTGAGCAGTGTGAAGCCTATAGTGAAAGAGGAAATATTGTCACATAAAAACTAGAAAGAAACTCTCTTAGAAACTTCTTTGTCATGTGTGCATTCATCTCACAGAGGTGAAACTTTCTTTTCATTGAGCAGTGTGGAAAAAGTCTTTTTGCAGTAACTGCAGAGGAATATTTTTGACCTGTTTAGGGCCTACGGTAAAAAAGGAAATATCTTCACATAAAAACCAGACAGAAGCATTCTGAGAAACTTCTTTGTGATGTGTGCATTCATCTCACAGAGTTGAACCTATCTTTTTTTTGAGCATTTTGGAAATAGTCTTTTTGTAGAATCTGCAAAGGGATATTTGTGAGCCGTTTCAAACCTATGATGAAAAAGGAAATAACTTCACATAAAAACTAGAAAGAAGGCTTCTGAGAAACTGTTTTGTGATGTGTGCATTCATCTCACAGAGGTAAACGTTTCTTTTCATTGAGCAGATTGGAAACTCTGTTCTTGTAGAATCTGCAAAGGGATGTTTGTGAGCACTTTGAGGCCTAAGGTGAAAAAGGAAATATCTTCACATAAAAATGAGACAGAATGTTTCTATGTAACTGCTTTGTGATGTGTGCATTCATCTCACAGATGTAAATGTTTACTTTCATTGAGCAGATTGGAAAATCTGATCTTGTAGAATCTGCAAAAAGGTATTTGTGAGCATTTTGAGGTGTATGGTGAAAAAGGAAATATCTTCACATAAAAACTAGACAGAAGCTTTCTGAGAAACTTCTTTGTGTTGTGTCCATCCATCTCACAGAGTTCAATCTTTCTTTTGATTGAGCAGTTTGGAAAGAGTCTTTTTGTAGAATCTTCAAAGGGATATTTTTGAGTGCTTTGAGGCCAAAGGTGAAAAAGGAAATATCTTTACATAAAAACTAGACAGAAGCTTTCTGAGAAACTTCTCTGTGATGTGTGCATTCATCTCACAGAACTGAAGTTTTCTTTTGATTGAGCAGATTGGAAGCAGTCTTTTTGCAGAATCTTCAAACTGATATTTGTGAGCGATTTGAGGCCTATGCTGAAAAAGGATATATCATCACAAAAAAACTACACAGAAGCATTCTGAGAAACTTCTTTGGGATGTGTGCATTCATCTCACAGAATTCAACATTGCTTTTGATTGGGCAGCTTGGAAACAGTCTTTTTGTAGAAAGTGCAAAGGGATATTTTTGAGTCATTTGAGGCCCAAGGTGAAAAAGGAAATATCTTCACATAAAAACTAGGCAGAAGCTTTCTGAGAAACTTCTTTGTGATGTGTGCATTCATCTCACACAGTTGAACATTTCTTTTGATTGGTCAGTGTGGAAACAATCTTTTTGTGGATTCTGCAATGGAATATTTGTGAGTGCTTTGAGGCCAATGGTGTAAAAGGAAATATCTTCACATAAAAATTAGGCAGAAGCTTTCTGAGAATCTTCATTGTCATATGAGCATTCATCTGACACATTTGAACCTTTCTTTTGATTGAGCAGTTTGGAAGCAGTCTTTTTGTAGAGTCTGCAAAGGTATATTTGTGAGACCTTCGAGGCCTTTGGTGAAAAATAACTATCTTCACATAAAAAGTAGACAGAAGCTTACTGAGAAACTTCTTTGTGATGTGGGCATTCTTCTCACAGAGTTGAAACTTCGTTTTGATTGAGCAGTTTGGAAACAGTATTCTTGTAGAATCCACAAAAGGATATTTGTGAGTGGTTTGAGGCCGATGGTGAAAAAGGAAACATATTCACGTAAAAACTAGACAGAAGCTTTCTGAGAAGCATCTTTGTCATGTGTGCATTCACCTCACAGTGTTGAAACTTTCTTTTGACTGAGCAGGTAGGAAACAGTCGTTTTGTGTAATCTGCAATGGGTATTTTTGAGTGGTGTGAAGCCTAAGGTGAAAAAGGAAATATCTTCTCATAAAAACTAGAAAGAAGCTTTGTTAGAAAATTCTTTGTGATGTGTACATTCATCACACAGATTGGAACATTTCTTTTCATTGAGCAGTTTGGAAAAAGTCTTTTTATAGAACCTGCAAAGGGATATTTGTGAGCCCTTTTAGGCCTATTATGAGAAAAAAAATGTCTTCACATAAAAATTAGACTGTTGGGAGGCTGAGGCGGGTGGATCATGAGGTCAGGAGATCGAGACCATCCTGGCTAACAAGGTGAAACCCCGTCTCTACTAAAAATACAAAAAATTAGCCGGGCGCGGTGGTGGGCGCCTGTAGTCCCAGCTACTCGGGAGGCTGAGGCAGGAGAATGGCGTGAACCCGGGAAGCGGAGCTTGCTGTGAGCCGAGATTGCGCCACTGCAGTCCGCAGTCCGGCCTGGGCGACAGAGTGAGACTCCGTCTCAAAAAAAAAAAAAAAAAAAAAAAATTAGACTGAAATTTTCTGGGAAAACTCTTTGTGATTTGTTCATTCATCTCACAGTGTTGAACCTATGTTTTGATTGAGCAGTTTGGAAAAAGTCTTTTTGAAGAATCTGCAAAGGGATATTTGGGAGCCCTTTGAAGCCAATGGTGAAAAAGGAAATATCTTCACATAAAAACTACACAGAAGGCTTCTGAGAAAATGCTTTGTGATGTGTGCATTTATCTCACAGACAAAAATTTCATTTCATTGAGCATATTGGAAACTCTGTTCTTGTAGAATCTGCAAAGGGATATTTCTGAGTGCTTTGAGGCCTATGGTGAAAAAGGAAATATCTTCAACTAAAAACTAGACAGAAGCTTTCTGAGAAACTTATTTGTGATGTGTGCATTCATCTCACACAGGTGAACCTTTCTTTTGATTGAGCAGATTGGAAACAATCTTTTCCTAGAATATGCAAAGGGATAGTTTCGTGCAGTTTGAGGCCCATGGTGAAAAAGGAAATATCTTCACATAAAAATTGGACATAAGCTTTCTGAGAAACTTCTTTGTGATGTGCACATGCATCTAACAGAGTTGAAACTTTATTTTGATTGATCAGTTTGGAAAAAGTCTTTTTGCAAAATCTGCAAAGGGATACTCGTGAGCTGTTTGAGGCCTATGGAGAAAAAGGAAATATCCTCACATACAAACCAGACAGAAGCTTTCAGAGAAACTTCTTTGTGATGTGTGTATTCATCTCACAGAGGTGAAACTATCTTTTGATTGTGCAGCTTGAAAACAGTCTTTTTGTAGAATCTGCAATGGGATATTTGTGAGAGGTTTAAAGCCTACGGTGAAAAAGGAAATAAGTCCACATAAAAACTAGATGGAAGCTTTTTGAAAAACTTCTTTATGATGAGTGCATTCATCTCACAGATTTGAAACTTTCATTTGATTGAGCAGTTTGGAACCAGTCTTTTTGTAGGGTTTTCAAAGGGATATTTGTGAGCCCTTTGAGTCCTATGGTGAAATAGGAAATATCTTCACATAAAAATTAGACAGAATGGTTCTGGGGAACTGCTTTGTGATGTATGCATTCATCTCACAGATGTAAATGTTTCTTTTCATTAAGCAGATTGGAAACTCTGTTCTTGTAGAATCTGCAAAGGAATATTTTTGAGCACCCTGAGGCCTCCAGTGAAAAATGGAACATCTTCACATAATAACTAAACAGATGCTTTCTGAGAAACTTCCCTGTGATGTGTGCATTCAACTCACAGGATGGAACATTTCTTTTGATTGAGGAGTTTGGAAACCATCTTTCTGTAGAATCTACAAAGGGATAGTTGTGAGCAGTTTGAGTCCTATTGAGAAAAATGAAATATCTTCACATAAAAACTAGAAAGAAGCTTTTTGAGAGACTTATCTGTGATGTGTGCATCCATCTCACATATTTGAAGCTTTCTTTTCATTGAGAGGTATGGAAACAGTCTTTTTGCAGAATCTGCAAAGGGATATTTTTGAGCACTTTGAGGCCTATGGTGAAAAAGGATATATCATCACATAAAAACTAGACAGAACTATTCTGAGAAACTACTTTGTGATGTGTGTATTCATCTCACAGAGTTGTACTTTTCCATTTATTGAGCAGTTTGGAAGCAGTCTTTTTGTAGAATCTGCAAAGGGATATTTGTGAGTGGTTTGAGGCCCATGTGAAAAAGGAAATATCTTCATATAAAAACTAGCAGAAGCTTTTTGAGAAACTTCTTTTTGATGGGTCCATTCATCTCAAAGAGGTGAAACTTTCTTTTTAGTGAGCAGTTTGGAAGTAGTCTTTTTGTAGAATCTGCCATGGGATATTTCTGAGTGCTTAGAGGCCCATGGTGTAAAAGGAAATATCTTCACATAAAAACTAGGTAGAAGCTTTCTGAGAATCTTCTTTGTCATATGTGCATTCATCTCACAGAGTTGAACATTTCTTTTGAATCAGCAGTTGGGAACCAGTCTTTTTGTAGAGACTGCAAAAGGATATTTGTGAGCCCTTCGAGGCCTATGGTGTAAAATGTAATATCTTCACATAAAAAATAGACAGAAGCTTTCTGAGAAGATGCTTTGTGAAGTATGCATTCATCTCACATCATGAAACATTTCTTTTCATTGAGCAGATTGGAAACTCTGTTTTTGTAGAATCTGCAAAGAAATATTTGTGAGCACTTTGAGGCCTCTGTTGAAAAGGGAAAAATCTTCACATAAAAACTAGACAGATGCTTTCTGAGAAACTTCCGTGTGATGTGTGCATTCATCTCACAGAATTGAAACTTTCTTTTCATTCAGCAATCAGGAAACAGTCTTTCTGTAGAATCTGCAAAGGGATAGTTGTGAGCTGTTTGATGCCTATTGAGAAAAAGGAAATAACTTCACATAAAAACTAGACAGAAGCTTTCTGAGAAACTTCTCTGTGATGTGTACATTCATCTCATAGAGGTGAACTTTTGTTTTAATTTAGCAGTTTGGAAACAGTCTTTTTATAGAATCTGCAAAGGGATATTTGTGAGAACTTTTAGGCCTATTGTGAAAAAGGAAACATCTTCACATAAAAACTAGACAGAAAGTTTCTGAGAAACTGCTCTGTGATGTGTGCATTCATCTCACAGATGTAAACGTTTCTTTTCATTGAGCAGATTGGAAACTCTGTTCTTGTAGAATCTGCAAAGGGATATTTGTGAGTGCTTTTGGCCTATGGTGAAAAAGGAAACATCTTCACATAAAAACTAGTCAGAATCTTTCTGAGAAACTTCTTTGTTATGTGTGAATTCATGTCCCAGAGTTGAACCTTTCTTTTGATGGAGCAGTTTGGAACCAGTCGTTTTGTAGAATCTGTAAATGGATATTTGTGATCCCTTTAAGGCCTATGGTGAAAAAGAAATGTCTTCACAGAAAAGCTAGAGAGAAGGTTTCCATGAAACTGCTTTCTGATGAGTGCATTCATCTCACCTATGTAAACGTTTGTTTTCATTAAGCAGATTGAGTACTCTGTTCTCTTAGAATCTGCAAAATCATATTTGTGAGCACTTTGAGGGCTATGGTGAAAAAGGAAATATGGTCACATAAAAACTAGACATAAGCATTCTGAGAAACTTCTTTTTGATGTGTGCATGCATCTCACATGGTTGAACCTTTCTTTTGATTGAGCAGTTTGGAAGCAGTCTCTTTGTAGAATCTGCAATGGGATATTTGTGTTTGCTCTGTGGCCTATGGTATAAAAGGAAATGCCTTCACATGAAATGAGACAGAAGCTTCCTGAGAAACTTCTTTGTGATGTGTGCGTTCATCTCATGGAGTTGAAACTTTCTTTTGATTGAGCAGTTTGGCACAGTGTTTTTATAGAATCTGACAAGGTGTATTTGTGAGCCATTTGAGGCCTATGGTGAAAAAGGAAATATCTTCACATAAAAACTAGACAGAAGCTTTCTGAGAAACTTCTTTGTGATGTGTGCATTCATCTCACCGAGTTAAACCTTTCTTTTGATTGAGCAGTTTGGAAACAGTCTTTTTATAGAATCTGCAAATGGACATTTTTGAGCCAATTGAGGCCTATTGTGAAAAAGTAAATATCTTCACATAAAAACTAGTTAGAAGTTTCCTGAGAAACTTTTTGTGATGTGTGCATTCTTCTCACAGATCTGAACCTTACTTTTGATTGAGCTGTATGGAAACAGTCTTTTTGTAGAATCTGCAAAGGATATTAGTGAGCCTCTTGAGGTCTATGGTGAAATAGGAAATAGCTTCACATAAAAATTAGACAGAAGCTTTCTGAGAAGCTGCTTTGTGATGTGTGCATTCATCTCACAGAGGTAAAGGTTTCTTTTCATTGAGCAGATTGTACACTCTATTCTTGTAGAATCTGCAAAGGGATATATGGAAGCACGTTGAGGCCAATGGAGAAAAGGGAAATATCTTCACATAAAAACTAAACAGAAGCTTTCTGATAATCTTCCTTTTGATGACTGCATTCATCTCACAGAGTTGAACCTTTCTTTGATTGAGCTGTCTGGAAACAGTCTTTTTGTAGAATGTGCAAAAGGATATTTGCAGGCCCTTTCAGGCCTATGGTGGAAAAGGAAATATCTTCATATAAATACTAGACAGAAGCTTTCTGAGAAACTGCTTTGGGATGTTGGCATTCATCTCACAGAGGTAAACGTTTCTTTTCATTGAGCAGATTAGAAACTCTGTTCTTTTAAAATCTACAGAGGGATACTTGTGAGTGCTTTGAGGCCTATAAAGGTGAAAAAGGAAATACCTTCACAAAAAAACTAGACAGAAGATTTCTGAGAAACTTCCTTGTCATGTGTGAATTCATCACACAGAGTTGAACATTTCTTTTCACTGAGCAGTTTGGAAACTGTTTTTTGTAGAATCTGCAAAGGGTTATTGTGAGCCCCATTTCAGCCTATGGTGAAAAATGAAATATCTTCACATAAAGGCTAGACAGAATATATTTGGGAAACTGCTTTGGGATGTGTGCATTCATCTCACAGTGGTGAGTGTTGCTTTTCATTGAGCAGATTGGAAACTCTGTTCTTGTAGAATCTGCAAAGAGATACTTGTGAGTGCTTTGAGGCCTATGATGAAAAAGGAAATATCTTCACGTAAAAACTAGACAGAAGCTTTCTAAGAAATTTCTTTGTGATGTGTGCATTCATCTCACAGAGTTGAACCTTTCTTTTGATTGAGAAGTTTGGAAACAGTCTGTTTGTAGAATTTGCAAAGGCTAATTTTGAGTAGTTTGAGGCCTATGGTGAAAAAGGAAATATCTTCACACAAAAACTAGACAGAAGCATTCTGAGAAACTTCTTTATGAAGTTGGCATTCATCCACACAGACATGAACATTTCTTCTGATTGAGTGGTTTGGAAACAATCTTTTTGTATAATCTGCAAAAGGGTATTTGTGAGTGATTTTAGGCCTTTGGTAAAAAAGGAAATATTTTCACATAAAAAGTAGACAGACGCTTTCTGAGATACTTCTTTGTGATCCGTGCATTCATCTCACAGAGTTGAACTTTTCTTTAATTGAGCAGTTTGGAAACAGTCTTTTTTTAGAATATGCATGTGGATATTTGGAGCACTGTGAGGCCTGTGTTGAAAAACGAAATATCTTCACATGAAAACCAGACAGAAGCATTCTGAGAAACAAATTTGTGGTGTGTGCATTCACTTTGCAGAGTTGAACCTTTCTTTTAATTTAGCAGTTTGGAAACAGTCTTTTTCTAGAATCTGTGATGGGATAATTGTGATCCCATTGAGACCTATGGTGAAAAAAGAAATTGCTTAAAATAAAAGCTAGACAAAAGCATTCTGAGAAACTTCTTTGTGAAGTGTGAATTCATCTCCCAGAGTTGAACCTTTGTTTTCATTGAGAAGTTTGAAAACAGTCTTTTTGTAAAATCTGCAAAGAGATATTTGGAGCAATTTGTGGACTATGGTGAATAAGGAAAGATCTTCACATAAAAACTAGAAAGAAGCATTCAGAGAAACTTTTTTGTGATGTGTGCATTTATGTCACAGAGTTGAAAATTTCTTTTGATTGAGCAGTATGGAATCCGTCTTTTTTTAGAATCTGCAAAAGGATATTTGTGAGCCTTTTGAGGCCTATGGTGAAAAAGGAAATATCTTCACATAAAAACTAGACAGAAGTTTTCTGTCAAACTTCTTTGTGATATCTGCTTTCATCTCACAGAGTTGAACCACTCTTTTGATTGAGCAGTTTGGAAACAGCCTTTTGTAAAATCTCCAAATTGATATTGGGAGTGCTTTGAGGCATATGGTGAAAAACAAAATAACTTCACATTAAAACTACACAGAAGATTTCTGAGAAACTCCTCTGTGATGTGTGCATTCACTTCACAGATTTGAACCTTTGTTTTGATTGAGCAGTTTGGAAACAGTCTTTTTATAGAATTTGCGAATGGACACTTGGAGCGCTTTGAGGCCTATTGTGAGAAAGTAACTATTGTCACATAAAAACTGGACAGAAGTTTTCTGACAAATTTCTTTATGATATATGCATTCATCTTACAGAGTTGAACATTTCTTTTGATTGAGCCGTTTGGAAACAGTCTGTTTCTATAATCTGCAAAGGGTATTTGTGAGTGGATTGAGGCCTATGGTGAAAAAGGAAATATCTTCACATAAAAACTAGAGAGAAACATTCTGAGAAACATCTTTTTGAGAAACATCTTTTTGATGTGTGCATTCATCTCACAGAGTTGAACATTTCTTTTGATTGAGCAGTATGGAAACAGTCTTTTTGTAGAATCTGCCAAGGGGTATATGAGTGCTTTTAGGCCTATGGTGAAAAAGGGAAATATCTTCACATAAAGACTAGACAGGAGCTTTCCAAGAAACATATTTCTGATGTGTGTATTCATCTCACAGAGTTGAAACTTTTTTTTCATTGAACAGTTTGGAAAAAGTCTTTTTGCAGAACCTGCAAAGGGATATTTATGAGCACTTTGAGGCCTATGGTGGAAAAGGAAATATATTCACATAAAAAATAGACAGAAGCATTCTGGGAAACTTCTTTGTGATGTGTGCATTCGTCTCACAGAGTTGAACCTTTCTTTTCATTGAGCAGTTTGGAAACAGTCTGTTTGTAGAATCTGCAAAGTGTATTTCTGAGCAGTTTGAGGCCTGTGGTGAGAAAGGATATATCTTCACATAAAAACTAGACAGAGGCTTTCTCAGAAACTTCTTTATGATCTCTGCTTTCATCTCACAGAGCTGAACCTTTCTTTTGATTAAGCTGTTTGGAAACTTTCTTTTTGTAGAATCTGTAAGGGGATATTTGTAAGCCAATAGAGACATATAGTGAAAAATGAAATATCTTCAAATAAAAACTAGAGGGAAGATTTCTGAAAAACTTATTTGTGATGTGTGCCTTCACCTAACAGAGTTGAACCTTTTTTTTCATTGAGCAGTTTGGAAACAGTCTTTTATAGTATCTGCAAATGGATAATTTGAGCGTTTTGAAGCCTATGGTGAAAAAGGAAATATCTTCACATAAAAACTACACAGAAGATTTCTGAGAAACTGCTTTATGATGAGTGCATTCATGTCACAGGTTTGAACTTTTCTTTTGATTGAGCAGTTTGGAAACAGTCTTTATGCAGAATCTGCAAAGGGATATATTTGAGCACTTTGAGGCCTATGGTGAGAAAGGGAGTATCTTCACATAAAAACTAGACAGAAGCTTTCTGAGAAACTTCTTTGTGATGTGTGATTTAGTATCACAGATATGAACCTTTCTCTTGATTGAGCAGTTTGGAAACAGTCTTTTTGTGCAATCTGCAAATGAATATGTGGGACGTTTTGAGGCCTATGGTGAAAAAGGAACTATCTTTACATAAAAACTAGACATAAGTTTTCTGAGAAACTGCTTTGTGATATGTACATTCATCTCACAGAATTGAACCTTACTTTTGTTTGAGCTCTTTGGAAATAGTCTTTAGGTAGAATCCATAAAGGGTTATTTCTGAGCACTTTGAGGCCTTTGATGAAAAAGGAAATATCCTGACATAAAAACTAGATATAAGCTTTCTGAGAAATTTCTTTGTGATGTGTGCTTTCATCTCACAGAGTTGAACATTTCTTTTGATTTAGGAGATTGCAAACAGTCTTTTTGTAGAATCTGCAAACGGATACTGGGAGTAGTTTGAGGCCTATAGTGTAAAGGGAAATATCTTCACATAAAAAGTAGACAGAAGCATTCTGAGAAACTTCCTTGTGATGTGTGCATTCATCTCACAGAGTTGAACCTTTCTTTTGATGGAACAGTTTGGAAACAGTGTGTTTGTAGAATCTGCAAAGGGTAATTTTGATTGGTATGAAGCCTATGGTGAAAAAGGAAATATCTTCACATAAAACCCAGACAGAAGTCTCCTGACACACTTCATTGTGATGTGTGCATTCATCTCACATAGTTGAACCTTTCTTTTAATTGAGCAGTTTGGAAATAGTCTTTTTGTAGAATCTGCAAAGGGATATATGTGAGCAGTTTGAGGCCTATGGTGAAAAAGTAAATACCTTCACATACAAAGTAGACAGAAGCTTTCTGAGAAACTTCTTTGTGACGTCTGCTTCATCTCGCAGAGATGAACTATTCTTTTGATTGAGGAGTTTGGAAACAGTCTTTTTGTAAAATCCACAAAGGGATATTCGTGAGCAGTTTGAGGTATATGGTGAAAAAGGAAATATCTTCAGGTAAATACTAGACAGAAGCATTCTGGGAAACTTCTTTGTGACGTGTGCATTCATCTCACTGAGTTGAACTTTTCTTTTGATTGAGCAGTTTGAAAAGAGTCTTTTTGTAGAATCTACAAAGGGATATTTTTGAGTGCTTTGAGGCCTATGGTGAAAAAATAAATATCTTCACATAAAAACTAGACAGAAGCATTCTGAGGAACTTCTTTGTGATGTTCGGTTTCGTCTCACAGAGTTGAAACTTTCTTTTCATTGAGCAGTTTGTAGATTTTGTAGACAGTCTTTTTGTACTATCTGCGAAGGGATATTTTGATCCCATTTAGGCTTATAGTGAAAAAGGAAACATCGTCACATAAAAACTAGACAGAAGCTTTCTGAGAAACTTCTTTGTGATGTGTGCATTCATCTCACAGAGTTGATCCTTTCCATTGATTGATCAGTTTGGAAACTGTCTTGTTGTAGAGTCTGCAAAGGGTTACTTCTGAGCAGCTTGAGGTCTGTGGTGATAAGAAAATATCTTCCCATAAAAAGTAGACAGAAGATTTTGAGAAACTTATTTGTGTTATGTGTATTCCTCTCACAGAGTTGAACCTTTGCTTTGGCTGACCAGTTTGGAAATAGTCTCTTTGTAGATTCTGCAAAGCAATATTTGGAGTGCTTTGAGGCCTATGGTGAATAAGGAAATATCTTCACATAAAAACTAGACAGAAGCTTTCTGAAAAACTTTTTTTCTCATGTGTGACTTCATCTCACAGAGTTGAACCTTTCTTTTGATTGAGCGGTTTGGAAAGAGTCTGTTTCTAAAATCTGCAAAGGGTAACTTTGAGCGGATTAGGGCCTATGGTGAAAAAGGAAATATCTTCACCCAAAAACTAGACAGAAGCATTGTGAGAAACTTCTTTGTGATGTTTGCATTCATCTCACAGAGTTGAACATTTCTTTTGATTGAGCAGTTTGGAAACAATCTTCTTGTGGAAACTGCAAAGGGATATTTGTTAGTGCTTTGAGGCCTATGGTAAAAAAGGAAATGTATTCATATAAAAAATAGACAGAAGCATTCTGAGAAACTTCTTTGTGATGTGTGCATTCGTCTCACAGAGTTGAACCTTTCTTTTCATTGAGCAGTTTGGAAACAATCTTCTTGTGGAAACTGCAAAGGGATATTTGTTAGTGCTTTGAGGCCTATGGTAAAAAAGGAAATGTATTCACATAAAAAATAGACAGAAGCATTCTGAGAAACTTCTTTGTGATGTGTGCATTCGTCTCACAGAGTTGAACCTTTCTTTTCATTGAGCAGTTTGGAAACAGTCTGTTTGTAGAATCTGCAAAGTGTATTTCTGAGCAGTTTGAGGCCTATGGTGAAAAAGGAAATATCTTCACCCAAAAACTAGACAGAAACATTGTGAGAAACTTCTTTGTGATGTTGGCATTCATCTCACAGAGTTGAACATTTCTTTTGATTGAGCAGTTTGGAAACAATCTTTTTGTGGAATCTGCAAAGGGATATTTATTAGTGCTTTGAGGCCTATGGCAAAAAAGGAAATATATTCATATAAAAAATAGACAGAAACATTCTGAGAAACTTCTTTGTGATGTGTGCATTCGTCTCACAGAGTTGAACCTTTCTTTTCATTGAGGAGTTTGGAAAGAGTCTGTTTGTAGAATCTGCAAAGTGTATTTCTGAGCAGTTTGAGGTCTATGGTGAATGAACATTTCTTTTGATTGAGCAGTTTGGAAACAAAATTTTTGTGGAATTTGCAAAGGGATATTTGTTAGTGCTTTGAGGCATATGGTAAAAAAGGAAATATATTCACATAAAAAATAGACAGAAGCATTCTGAGAAACTTCTTTGTGATGTGTGCATTCATCTCACAGAGTTGAACCTTTCTTTTCATTGAGCAGTTTGGAAACAGTCTGTTTGTAGAATCTGCAAAGTGTATTTCTGAGCGGTTTGAGGCCTATGGTGAAAAAGGATATATCTTCACCCAAAAACTAGACAGAAGCATTGTGAGAAACTTCTTTGTGGTGTTTGCATTCATCTACACAGAGATGAACATTTCCTCTGGTTGAGCAGTTTGGAAACAATCTTTTTGTATAATCTGCAAAAGGATATTTGTGAGTAGTTGGAGGCCTATGGTGAAAAAGGAAATATCTTCATATAAAAAGTAGACAGAAGCTTTATAAGAAACTTTTTTGTCATGTGTGCATTCACCTAGAAGACTTGAAGTTTTCTTCTGGTTGTGCCGTTTGGAAACGGTATTTTTGTAGAATCTGCCAAGGGATATTTGGAGTGATTTGAGGTGTATTTTTGAAAAATGATATATCTTCACATAAAAACTAGACAGAAGTTTTCTGAAAAACTTCTTTGTGAGGTGTGCATTCATCTCACAGAGTTGAACCTTTCTTTTGATTGAGCAGTTTGGAAACAGTCTTTTTGTAGAATCTGCAACAGGATATTTGGAGTGCTTTGAGGCCTACAGTGAATAAGAAAATACCTTCACATAAAAACTATACAGAAGATTTCCAAAAAACTTATTTGTGATGTGTGGTTTCATCACACAGAGTTGAGTCTTCCTTTTGATTGATAAGTTTGGGAACAGTGTTTTTTGTAGAATCTGCAAAGAGATACTTGGAGCACTTTGAGGCTTATGGTGAAAAAGGAAATATCTTCAAATCGAAACTAGACAGAAGCTTTCTGAGAAACTTCCTAGTGATGTGTGCATTCATCTCACAGAGTGTAAACTTTGTTTTGATTAAGTAGTTTGGAATAAGTCTTTTTGTGGAATCTGCAAAGGGATATTTGTGAGTGCTTTGAGGCCTATGGTGAAAAAGTAAATATCTTCACATAAAAATTAGACATAAGCTTTTTGAGAAAGTTCTTTGTGATGTGTGCATTCAGCTCACTGATTTGGAACTTTCTTTAGTTGGGCAGTTTTGAAACAATCTTTTTCTAGAATCCGCAAGGCATATTTGTGAGCAGCTTGAGGCCTATGGTGCAAAGTGAAATATCCTCACAAAAAAAGTAGACAAGCATTCTGAGAAACCTGTTTGTGATGTGTGCATTCCGCTCACAGAGAAGAACCATTCTTTTGCTTGAGCAGTTTGGACAGAGTCTTTTTGTAGAATCTGCAAAGGAATACTTGGAGTGCTTTGAGGCCTATTGTGAATAAGCCTAATCTTCACATATAAATTAGACAGAAGATTTCAGAGAAAGTACTTTGTGATGTGTCTTTTCATCTCAAAGAGTTGAACCTTTCTTTTGATTGGGCTGTTTGGAAACAGTCTTTTTCTAGGATCCACCAAGGGATATTTGGAGTACATTGAAGCCTCTGGTGAAAAAGGGAATATCTTCACATAAAACCTAGGCAGAAGCTTTCTGACAAACTTCATAGTGATGTGTACTTTCATCTCCCAGAGCTGAACCTTTCCATAGATTAAGCAGTTCGGAAACAGTCTTTTTGTATAATCTGCAAAGAGATATTTTTGAGCAGTTTGAAGCCTATGGTGAAAAAGGAAATATCTTCACATAAAAACTGGACAGAAGACTTCCGAGAAACTTCTTTGTGATGTGTGGATTTATCTCCCAGAGTTCATCCTTTCTTTTGATTGGGCAGTTTGGAAACAGTCTTTTGGTAGAATCTGCCAAAGGATATTTGGAGCACTTTGAGGCCTATGGTGAAAAAGGAAATATCGTCACATAAAAATTAGACAGAAATTTTCTGAAACACTTATTTGTGATATGGGGATTCATCTCCCAGGGTTGAAGCTTTCTTTTGATTGAGCACTTTGAAGACAGTGTTTTTGTAGGATCCGCCAAAGGATATTTGGAGAGCTTTGAGGCCTATGGTGAAAAAGGAAATATCTTTACATTAAAAATAGACAGAAGCTTTCTGAGACACTTCTTTGTGATGGGGAAATTCATCTCCCAGAGTTGAAACTTTCTTTTGTTTGAGCACTTTGGATACAGTCTTTTTGTAGAATCTGCAAAGAGATATGTATGGGCAGTTTGAGGCCTATGGTGAAAAAGGAAATATCTTCAAATGAAAACTAGACAGAAGCTTTCAGAGAAACTTCTTTGTGATGTGTGCATTCATCTCACAGAGTTGAACCTTCCTTTTGATTGAGCAGTTTGGAAACAGTCTTTTTGTAGAATCTGCTAAGGGATAATTGTGAGCACTTTGAGGCCTACGGTGAAAAAGGAAATATCCTCACATAAAAACTAGACAGAAGCTTTTTGAGAAACTTCTTTGTGATGTGTACATTCATCTCACAGAGTAGAACCATTCTTTTGATAGAGCAGTTTGTAAACAGTCTTTTTGTAGAATTTGCAAATGGATATTTGGAGCACTTTGGGGCCTGTGGTGACTAAGGAAATACCTTCACATAAAAAGTAGACAGAAGTTTTTTGTGAAACATCTTTGTGATATGTGCATTCATCTCACAGGGTTGAAGCTTTGTTTTGATTGAGCAATTTGGAAACAGTCTTTTTGTAGAATCTTCAAAGGGATATTTGTGAGCAGTTTGGGACCAATTGGTGAAAGAGGAAATATCTTCACTTAAAAAGTAGACAGAAGCATTCTGAGAAACATCTTTCTGATGTGTGCATTTATCTCACCAGTTCAAACTTTCCTTTTATTGAACAGTTTGGAAACAGTCTTTTTGTAGAATCTGCAAAGGGATACGTGGAACACTTTGAGGTCTGTGGTGAAAAAGCAAATATCTTCAAATAAAAACTTGACAGAGGCTTTCTGAGAAACTTCTTTTTCATGTGTGCATTCATCTCACAGAGTTGAAGCTTTCTTTTGATTAAGAAGTTTGGAAAGAGTCTTTTTGTAGAATCTGCAAAGGGACGTTTCTGAGCGGTTTAAGTCCTATGGTGAAAAAGGAAATATCTTCATATAAAAACTACACAGAAGCTTGGAGAGAAACTTCTTTGTGATAATTGCATCCATCTCACAGAGTTGAACATTTCTTTCAATTGAGCAGTTTTGAAAAGGTCTTTTTGTAGAATTTTCCAAGAGATATTTGGAGCACTTCAAGACCTATGGTGAAAAAGCAAATATCTTCACATAAAAACCAGACAGAAGCGTTCTGAGAAACATCTTTTTGATGTTTGCATTCATCTAACAGAGTTGAATCTTGCTTTTCATTGAATAGTTTGGAAAAAGTCTTTGTGTAGAATCTGCAAAGGGATATTTTGAGCCCTTTGTGGCCTGTGTTGAATAAGGAAATATCTTCACATAAAAACTAGACAGAAGCTTTTTGTGAAACTTCTTTGTGATGTGTGCATTCAACTCACTTAGTTGAAGCTTTCTTTTGATTGAGCAGTTTGGAAACAGTCTTTTTGTAGAATATGCAAAGGGATAATTGTGAGCAGTATGGAGCCTATAGTGAAAAAGGAAATATCTGCACAGAAAAACAAGACAGAAGCATTCTGAGAAATTTCTTTGTGATGTGGGCTTTCATCTCATGGAGTTGAAACTTTCTTTTGATTGAGCAGCTTGGAAAGAGTCTTTATGTAGAAATTGCCAAGAGATATTAGGAGGGCTTTGAGGCCTATGATGAAAAAGCAAGTATCTTCACATAAAAACCAGACAGAAGCGTTATGAGAAACTTCTTTGTGACTTGTGCATTCATCTCACAGAGTTGAATCTTCATTTCAATTGAGCAGTTTGCAACAGTCTTTTTGTAGTATCTGCAAAGGGATATTTCGAGTGCTTTGAGGCCTAATGTGAAAAAGGAAATATCTTCATATATAAACTAGACAAAATTTTTCGGAGGAAATTCTTTGTGATGTGTGCTTTCATTACACAGAGTTGAATCATTACTTTAATTGAAAAGTTTGGAAACAGTCTTTTTGTAGAATCTGCAAATTGATATTTGGAGTGCTCTGAGGCCTATACTGAAAAAGGAAATGTCTTCACATAAAAACTTGACAGAAGCATTTTGAGAAACTTCTTTGTGATATGTGCATTCATCTCACAGGGTTGAACCTTTATTTTTATTGAGTAGTTTGGAAACTGTCTTTCTGTAGAATCAGCTAAGGGATTTTTAGAGCTCTTTGGGGACTATGGTGAATAAGGAAAATATTCACATGAAAACTAGACATAAGCTGTCTGAGAAACTTCTTTTTGATGTGTGCATTCATCTCACAGATTGAACATTTCTTTGGATTGAGCAGTTTTGAAACAGTCTTTTCATAGAATCTGCAAAGGGATATTTGTGAGCAGTTTGGGGCCTATGGTGAAAAATGAAATATCTTCACATAAAAACTAGAGAGAAGCTTTCTGAGAAACTTCCTTGAGAGGTTTGCTTTCATCTCACAGATGTGAACCTTTCTTTTGATTGATCAGTTTGGAAACACTCTGTAGAATGTTCAAAGGTATATTTGGAGCAATTTGAGGCCTATGGTGAAAAAGCAAATATCTTCACATAAAAACTAGACAGAAGCATTTTGAGAAACTTCTTTGTGATGTGTGCATTCATCTTACAGAGTTGAAAGTTTCTTTTGATTGAGCAGTTTGGAAACAGACTTTTTGTAGAATTTACCTAGAGATATTTTGTGTGTTTTGAGATGTAAGGTGAAAAACAAAATATCTTCACATAAAAACTAGACAGAAGGTTTCTGAGAAACTTCTTTGTGATGTGTGTGTAGATCTCATAGAGTTAAACCTTTATTTTAATTGAGCAGCTTGGAAACACTCTTTTTGTAGAATCTGCAAATGGATGTTTAGAGCACTTAGAGTCCTTTGGTGAAAAAAGAAATATCATCACATAAAAAATAGACAGAAGCTTTCTGAGAAACTTCTTTGTGATGTGTACATTCACCTCACAGATTTGAACCTTTCTATTGGAAACAGTTTGGAAACTCTCTTTTTGTAGAATCTCCAAATGGATACTGAGAGTTCTTTGAGGTCTACGGTGAAAAATGAAACATCTTCACAAAAAAACTTCACAGAAGCTTTCTGAGAAATTTCTTTGTGATGTCTGTATTCATCTCACAGAGTTGAAGATTTCCTTTGATTGAGCTGTTTGGAGACTTTCTTTTTGTAGATTCTTTTTGTAGATTCTGCAAGGATTCAGAAGATTCTGTAGATTCTGTAGATTTCTGAGCGATTTAGGGTCTATGGTGAAAAAGAAAATATCCTCACCTAAAAAATAGAAAGAAGCATTCTGAGAAACTACCTTGTGATGTGTGCATTCATCTCACAAAGTTGAACCATTCTCTTGATTGAGCAGTTTGGAAGCAGTCTTTTTGTACAATCTACAAAAGGATATTTGTGATCGCTTTGAGATTTATGGTGAAAAATGAAATATTTTCACATAAAAACTAGACAGAAGCTTTCTGAGAAATTTCTTTGGATGTGTGCAAACATTTCACAGAGTTTCAACTTTATTTTGATTAAGCAGTTTGGAAACAGTCTTTTTGAAGAATCTGCACCGGGGTATTTGTGAGCGGTTTGAGGCCTATGGTGAAAAATGAAATATCTTCACATCAAAACTAGACAGCAGATTTCTGAGAAAGTAATTTATGATGTGAGCATTCATCTCACAGAGTTGAACCATTCCTTAGATTGAGCAGTTTGGAAATAGACTTTTTGTAGAATGTGCAAAGGGATATTTGTTATTGCTTTGAGTCCCATGGTAAAAAAGGAAATATGTTCACATAAAAACTAGCCAGAAGGCTTCTGAGAAACTTCTTTGTGACGTGCCCATTCATCTCATGGAGTTGAAGTTTCCTTTTCACTGAGTAGTTTGGAAACAGCCTTTTTGTAGAATCTGCAAAGGGATATTTGGTGCAGTTTTGGGCCTGGGGTGAATAAATAAATATCTTCATGTAAAAAATAGACAGAAGGTTTCCGAGAAACTTCTTAGTGATGTGTGCATTCATCTCACAGAGTTGAAGCTTTGTGTTGATTGAGCAGTTTGGAAACCGTCTTTTTGTAGAATCTGCCAAGGGATATTTGTGAGCGCTTTGAGGCATGTGGTGAAAAATGAAATATCTTCATAGAAAAACTAGACAGATGCTTTCTGAGAAACTTCTTTATGATGTGTGCATTCACCTCACAGAGTTCAAACTTTCTTTTCATTGAGCAATTTCGAAATAGTCTGTTTTAGAATCTGAAAATGGATATTTAGAGTGCATTGTGGCCTACAGTGAAAAAGGAAATATCTTCACATAAAAACTAGACAGAAGCTTTCTGAGAAACTTCTTTGTGATGTGTGCACTCATATAACAGAGTTGAATCTTTCTTTTGAGTGAGTAGTTTGGAAACAGTGTTTTTGTAGTATCTGTAAAGGGATATTTGTGAGCGGTTTGAGACCTATGGTGAAAAAGCAAATATCTTCACTTGAAACCTAGACAGAAGCTTTCTGAGAAACTTCTTTTTGATGTGTGCATTCAACTCATAGAATTGAACCTTTGCTTTGCTTGAGCAGTTTGGAGACAGTGTTTTTGTAGAATCTCCAGATGGATATTTAGAGTGCATCATGGCCTATGGTGAACAAGGAAAAATCTTCACATTAAAACTAGACAGAAGCTTTTTGAGAATCTTCTTTGTGATGTGTGTATTCATCTAACAGAGTTGCATCTTTCTTTTGATTGAGCATTTTGGAAACAGTCTTTTTGTAGTATCTGCAAAGGGATATTAGTGAGCCATTTGAGGTCTATGGTGAAAAAGGATATATCTTCACATAAAAACTAGACAGAGGCTGTCTGAGAAACTTCTTTGTGATGTGTGCATTCATCTCACGGATTTGAACCTTTCTTTTGATTGATCATTTTGGAGACAGTAGTCTTTTTGTAGAATCTACAAAGGGACAGTTGGAGTTCTTTGAGGCCTATGGTGAAAAAGGAAGTATCTTCAAACTAGAACTAGATAGAACTTTCTGAGATACTCTTTGTGATGTGTGCATTCATCTCACAGAATTCAAGCTTTCTTTTCATTGAGCAGTTTGGAAACAGTCTTTTTTAGAATCTGCAAATGGATATTTGGAGTGCTTTGAAGCCTATGGTGAAAAACGAAATATCTTCACATAAAAACTAGACAGAAGTTTCCTGAGAAATTACTTTGTGATGTGTGCATTAGTCTCACAGAGTTGAAGGTAACTTTTCATTGAGCAGTTTGGAAACAGTCTTTACGCAGAATCTGCAAATGGATATTTGGAGAGCTTTGAGGCCTATGCTGAAAAAGGAAATATCTTCACATAAAAACTACATGGAAACTTCCTGAGAAAGTTTTGTGAAGTGTGCATTCATCTAACAGAGTTGAAGCTTTCTTTTCATTGAGCAGTTTGGAAACAGCCTTTTTATAGAATCTGAAAACGGATATTTGTGAGTGCTTTGAGGCCTACAGTGAAAAAGAAATATCTTCACATAAAAACTAAACAGAAGCTTTCTGATAAACTTCTTTGTGATGTATGCATTCATCTCACAGAGTTGAACCTTTCTTTTCTTTGAGCAGTTTGTAGATTTTGTAGACAGTCTTTTTGTACTATCTGCGAAGGGATATTTTGATCCCATTTAGGCTTATAGTGAAAAAGGAAACATCGTCACATAAGAACTAGACAGAAGCTTTCTGAGAAACTTCTTTGTGATGTGGGCTTTCATCTCACAGTGTTGAAACTTTCTTTTTATTGAGAAGTTTGGAAACTCTCTTTTTGCAGAATCTGCAAAGGGATGTTTGTGACCCCTTTTAGGCCTATGTTGAAAAAGGAAATATCTTCACATAAAAACTAGACAGAAGCTTTCTGAGAAACTTCTCTGTGTTGTGTGCTTTCATCTCACAGAGTTGAACTTTGTTTACATTGATCAGTTTGGAAAGAGTCTTTTTGCAGAATCTGCAAAGGGATATTTAGAACGCTTTTAGTCCTATGAAGAAAAAGGTAATATCTTCACCTAAAAACTAGACAGAAGCCTTATGAGAAACTGCTTCGTGATGTGTGCATTCATCTCCCAGAGTTGACACCTTTCTGTTCATTGAGCAGCTTGGAAACACTCTTCGTAGAAACTGCAAAGGGATATTTGGAGCGCTTTGTGGCCTATGGTGAATAAGGACATATCTTCACATAAAAACTAGACAGGAGCTTTCTGAGAAACTTCTTTGTGATGTGTACATTCATCTCCCAGAGTTGAATATTTCTTATCACTGAGAAGTTTGGAAACAGTGTTTTTGTAGAATCTGCAAAGGGATATTTGGAGTGCTTTTGGCCTGCATTGAATAAGGAAATATCTTCACATAAAAGTAAACAGAAGTTTTCTGAGAAACTTCTTTGTTATGTGTGCATTCACCTCACTGAGTTGAAACTTTCTTTTGTTTGAGTAGTTTGCAGACAGTCTTTTTGTAGAATCTGCGAAGGGATATTTGTGAGTGGTTTGGTGTCTATGGGCAAAAGGTAACATCTTCACTTAAAAACTAGAAAGAAGCATTCCGAGAAACTTCTTTGTGATGTGTGCATTCATCTCACAGAGTTGATCTTTTCTTTTGATTGAGCAGTTTGGAAGCAGTCTTTTTGTAGTATCTGCAAAGGGATATTTTTGATTTCTTTGAGGTGTACGGTGAAAAAGGAAATATCTTCAACTAAAAAATAGACAGAAGGTTTCTGAGAAACTTCTTTGTGATGTGTCCATTAATTTCACGGAGTTGAACCTTTCTTTAGATTGAGCATTTTGGAAACAGTCTTTTTGTAGAATCTGCAAAGGGCTATTTGTGAGCCCATTGAGATCTATGTTGAAAAAGGAAATATCTTCACATAAAAACTAGACAAAGGGTTTCTGAGAAACTACTCTATGTTGTGTGCTTTCATGTCACAGAGTTGAACCTTTCTTTTGATTGATCAGTTTTGAAACAGTCTTTTTGTAGTGTCTGAAAAGGGATACTTGGAGCAATTTGAGGCCTATGTTTAAAAAGGAAATATCTTCAAATAAAGACTAGGCAGAAGCTGTTTGAGAAACTTCTTTGTGATGTGTGTATTTATCTCAGAGAGTTGCACCTTTCTTTTGTTTTTTTTAAATTTTATTATTATACTTTAAATTTTAGGGTACATGTGCACAACGTGCAGGTTTGTTACATATGTATACATGTACCGTGTTGGTGTGCATCACCCATTAACTCGTCATTCAGTGTTAGGTGTATCTACTAATGCTATCCCTCCCCCCCCACCCACCCCACAACAGTCCCCGGTGTGTGATGTTCCTCTTCCTCTGTCCATGTGTTCTCATTGTTCAATTCCCACCTTTGAGTGAGAACATGCAGTGGTTGGTTTTTATGTGCTTGTGATAGTTTTCTGAGAATGATGGTTTCCAGTTTCATCCATGTCCCTATGAAGGACATGAACTCATCATTTCTTATGGCTGCATAGTATTCCATGGTGTATATGTGCCACGTTTTCTTAATCCAGTATATTGTTGTTGAATATTTAAGTTGGTTCCAAGTCTTTGCTATTGTGAATGGTGCCACTATAAACATACGTGTGCATATGTCTTTATAACAGAATGATTTATAATCCTTTGGGTATATACCCTGTAATGTGATGGGTGGGTCAAATAGTATTTCTAGTTCTAGATCCCTGAGGAATCGCCACACTGACTTCCACAATGGTTGAACTAGTTTACAGTCCCACCAACAGTGTAAAAGTGTTCCTGTTTCTCCACATCCTCTCCAGCACCTGTTGTTTCCTGACTTTTTAATGATTGCCATTCTATCTGGTGTGAGATGGTATCGCATTATGGTTTTGATTTTCATTTCTCTGATGGCCAGTGATGATGAGCATTTTTTCATGTGTTTTTTGGCTGCATAAATGTCTTCTTTTGAGAAATGTCTGTTCATATCCTTCACCCACTTTTTGATGGGGTTGTTTGTTTTTCTCTTGTAAATTTATTTGAGTTCATTGTAGATTCTGGATATTAGCCCTTTGTCAGATGAGTAGGTTGCAGAAATTTTCTCCCATTCTGTAGGTTGCCTGTTCACCCTGATGGTAGTTTCCTTTGCTGTGCAGTAGCTCTTTAGTTTAATTAGATCCCATTTGTCAATTTTGGCTTTTGTTGCCATTGCTTTTGATGATTTAGACACGAAGTCCTTGCCCATGCCTATGTCCTGAATGGTATTGCCTAGGTTTTCTTCTAGGGTTTTTATGGTTTTAGGTCTAGCATTTAAGTCTGTAATCCATCTTGAATTAACTTTTGTGTAAGGTATAAAGAAGGGATTCAGTTTCAACTTTCTACATATGGCTAGCCAGTTTTCCCAGCACCATTTATTAAATAGGGAATCCTTTCCCCATTGCTTGTTTTTCTCAGGTTTGTCAAAGATCAGACAGTTGTAGATATGCAGCATTATTTCTGAGGCCTCTATTTTGTTCCATTGGTTTATATCTCTGTTTTAGTACCAGTACCATGCTGTTTTGGTTACTGGAGCCTTGTAGTATAGTTTGAAGTCAGGTAGCATGATGCCTCCAGCTTTGTTCTTTTGGATTAGGATTGACTTCGCAATGTGGGCTCTTTTTTTGGTTCCATATGAAGTTTAAAGTAGTTTCTTCCAAGTCTGTGAAGAAAATCATTGGTACTTTGATGGGGATGGCATTGAATCTGTAAATTACCTTGGGCAGTATGGCCATTTTCACGATATTGATTCTTCCTACCCATGAGCATGGAATGTTCTTCCATTTGTTTGTATCCTCTTTTATTTCCTTGAGCAGTGGTTTGTAGTTCTCCTTGAAGAGGTCCTTCACATCCCTTGTAAGTTGGATCCCTAAGTATTTTATTCTCTTTGAAGCAATTGTGAATGGGAGTTCACTCATGATTTGGCTCTCTGTTTGTCTGTTATTGGTATATAAGAATGCTTGTGATTTTTGTACATTGATTTTGTATCCTGAGACTTTGCTGAAGTTGCTGATCAGCTAGAGGAGATTTTGGGCTGAAACGATTTGGTTTTCTAGATATACAATCATGTTATCTGCAAACAGGGACAATTTGACTTCCTCTTTTCCTAATTGAATACCCTTTATTTCCTTCTCCTGCCTAATTGCCCTGGCCAGAACTTCTAACACTCTGTTGAATAGGAGTGGTGAGAGAGGGCATTCCTGCCTTGTGCCCGTTTTCAAAGGGAATGCTTCCAGTTTTTGCCCATTCAGTATGATATTGGCTGTGGGTTTGTCATAGATAGCTCTTATTATTTTGAGATATGTCCCATCAATACCTAATTTGTTGAGAGTTTTTATCATGAAGGGTTGTTGAATTTTGTCAAAGAACTTTTCTGTGTCTATTGAGGTAATCATGTGGTTTTTGTCTTCGGTTCTGTTTATATGCTGGATTACATTTCTTGATTTGCATAGGTTGAACCAGCCTTGCATCCCAGGGGTGAAGCCCACTTGATCATGGTGGATAAGCTTTTTGATGTGCTGCTGGATTCAGTTTGCCAGTATTTTATTGAGGATTTTTGCATCGATGTTCATCAAGGGTATTAGTCTAAAATTCTCTTTTTTGGTTGTGTCTCTGCCAGGCTTTGGTATAAGGATGATGCTGGCTTCATAAAATGAGTTAGGGAGGATTCCCTGTTTTTCTATTGATTGGTATAGTTTCAGAAGGAATGGTACCAGCTCCTCTTTCCACCTGTGGTAGAATTCGGCTTTGAATCCATCTGGTCCTGGACCTTATATGGTTTGTAAGATGTTGATTATTGCCTCAATTTCAGCTTCTGTTATTGGTCTATTCAGAGACTCAACTTCTTCCTGGTTTAGTCTTGGGAGGTTGTATGTGTGGAGGAATTTATCCACTTCTTCTAGATTTTCTAGTTTATTTGCATAGAGGTGTTTATAGTATTCTCTGATGGCAGTATGTATTTCTGGGGGATCGGTGGTGATATCCCCATTATCAATTTTTATTGCGTCTATTTTATTCTTCTCTCTTTTCTTTTTTATTAGTCTTGCTAGTGGTCTATCAATTTTGTTGATCCTTTCAAAAAACCACCTCCTGGATTCATTAATTTTTTGAAGGGTTTTTTGTGCTTCTATTTCCTTCAGTTTTGCTCTGATCTTAGTTATTTCTTGCCTTCTGCTAGGTTTTGAATGTGTTTGCCCTTACTTTTCGAGCCCTTTTAATTGTGATGTTAGGTTGTCAATTTTAGATCTTTCCTGCTTTCTCTTTTGGGTATTTAGTGCTATAAATTTCCCTGTACACACTGCTTTGAATGTGTCCCATGGATTCTGGTATGTTGTGTCTTTTTTCTCATTGGTTTCAAAGAACTTCTTTATTTCTGCCTTCATTTCATTATATACCCAATAGTCATTCAGGAGCAGGTTGTTCAGGGAAACAGTCTTTTTATAGAAACTGCAGAGGGATATTTGTGAGTGGTTTCAAAACTACGGTGGAAAAGGAAATATTGTCACATAAAAACTAGAGAGAAGCATTCTGAGAAACTTCTTTGTGATGTGTGCATTCATCTCACAGCGTTGAACCTTTCTTTTGATTGAGCAGTTTGGAAACAGTCTTTTTACAGTATCTGCAGATAGATATTTGGAGTGCTTTGTGGCGTATTGTGAAAAAATAAATATCTTCACATCAAAAGTAGACAGAAACTTTCTGAGAAACTATTTTGTGATGTGTGCTTTCATCTCCATTGTTGAACATTTCTTTCCATTGAGCAGTTTGGAAACAATCTTTTTGTAGAATCTGCAAAGGGATATTTGTGAGCCCTTTGAGGCCCATGGTGAAAAACGAAATATCTTCACACAAAAACTAGACTTTAGCTTTCTGAGAAACTTCTTTCTGATGTGTGCTTTCTTTTCTCAGAGTTGAACCATTCTTTTGATTGAACAGTTTGGAAACAGTCTTTTTGTAGAATCTGCAAATGGGTATTTGGAGCACTTTGAGGCCTGTGGTGAAAAAGGAAATATCTTCACAAAAAAACTAGACAGAATCTTTCTTAGAAACTTGTTTGTGTTTTGTGCATTCACCTCACAGATTTGACCCTTCCTTTTCATTGAGCAGTTTGGAAACAGTCTTTTTGTAGAGTCTGCAAAAGGATATTTGGAGCACTTTGAGCCCTTTGGTGAAAAAGGAAATATATTCACGTGAAAAGTAGACAGAAGATTTCTGAGAAACTTCTCTGTGATGTGTGCATTCACATCACAGACTTGAACCTTTCTTTTGATTGAGCAGTTTGGATATATTCTTTTTGTGCAATCTGCAAAGGGCTATTTCTGAAAGACTTTAGGCCTATGGAGAAAGAGAAATATCTTCATATGAAAATTAGAAGCATTCTGAGAAACCTCTTTGTGATGTGTGCATTCATCTCACAGAGTTGAAAATTTCTTTGGATTGAGCAGTTCGTAGACAGTATTTTTGTAGAATCTGCAAAAGGATATTTGAGAGCTCATTGAGGCCTATGGTGAAATAGGAAACATCTTCACCTAAAAACTAGACAGAAGTTTTCTGAGAAACGCCTTTGTGATATGTGCTTTCATCTCACAGATTTGAACCTTTGTTTGATTTGAGCAGTTTGGAAACACCTATTTGCAGAATCCGCCAAGGGATATTTGGAGAGCTTTGTGGCCCATGGTTAAAAAGGAAATATCTTCACATAAAAACTAGAAAGAAGCATTCTCAGAAAATTATTTGTGATGTGTGCATTCATCTCACAGAATTGAACCTTTCTTTTCATTGAGCAGTTTGGAAACACTCTTTTTCTGGGATTTGCAGAGGGATAATCGTGAGTGGTTTGGGGCCTATGGTGAAAAAGGAAATATCTTCACATAAAAATTAGATGGGGGATTTTTGAGAAACTTCTTTGTGATGTGTGCATTCGTCTTATAGTGTTGAACCTTTCTTTTGTTTGAGCAGTTTGGAAAGAGTATTTTTGTAGAATCTGCAAATGGATATTAGGAGTGCTTTGAGGCCCATGGTGAAAAAGGAAATATCTTCACATTAAAACTAGACAGAAGCTTTCTGAGATACTCCTTTGCAATGTGTGCATTCATCTCACAGAGCTCAACCTTCCTTTTGACTGAACACTTTGGAAACAGTCTTTTTGTAGAATCTGCAAATGGATATTTGGAGTGCTTTGAGGCCCATGGTGGGAATGGAAATATCTTCACATAAAAGCTAGACGGAAAATTTCTGAGAAACTTCTTTGTGATGTGTGCTTTCATCTCACACAGTTGAACTTTCTTTTGATTGAGCAGATTGGAAACTGTCTTTCTGTAGAATCTGCAATGAGTTAATTGTGAGCCCTTTGAGGGCTATGGTGAAAAATGAAATATCTTCTCATAAAAACTAGACTTCAGCTTTCTGAGAAACTCCTTTGTAATGTGCACCCTCATCTCTCAGAGTTGAATCTTTTGATTGAGCAGCAGTGAAACAATCTTTTTGTAGAATCTGCTAATGGATATTTGGTACGCTTTGAGGACTTTGGTGAAAAAGGAAAGAACTTCACGTACAAACTAGACAGAAGCTTTCTGAGAAACTCCCTTGTGATATGTGCTTTCCTCTCACAGAGTTGAACCTTTCTCTTCACTGAGAAGTTTGGTAACCATCTTTTTGTAGAATCTGCAGAGAGATATTTGTGAGGGGTTTGAGGCCTCTGGTGAAAAAGGAAATATCTTCACATAAAATCTAGACAGAAAGTTTTTGAGAAAGTTCTCTGTGTTGTGTACTTTCATCTCACAGAGTTGAACCTTTGTTTTGATTGATCAGTTTTGAAACAGTCTTTTTGTAGGATCTGCAATGGGATACATTGAGCAATTTGGGGAGTATGGTGAAAAAGGAAATATCTTCACATAAAAGCTATACAGAAGCTTTCTGAGAAACCACTTTGTGATGTGTGCATTCCTCTCCCAGGTTTGAACCTTTCTTTTCAGTGAGCAGTTTGGAAACAGTGTTTATGTAGAATCTGCAAAGGCATATTTGGATTGCTTCGGGGCCTGTGGTGAATAAGGAATTATCTTCACTTAAAAGTAGACAGAAGTTTTCTGAGAAACTTCTATGTTATGTGTGCATTCATCTCACTGAGTTGAAACTTTCTTTTGTTTGAGCAGTTTGGAGACAGTCTTTTTGTAGAATCTGTGAAGGGATAATTGTGAGTGGTTTTGGGACTATGGTGAAAAAGGAAATATCTTCACATAGAAAATGGAATCTTTCTGGGAAAATTCTTTGTGATGTGTGCATTAGTCTCGAAGAGTTGAACCTTTTTTTTTTGATTCAGTGGTTGGAAACAGTCTTTTTGTGGAATCTACAATCGGATATTTCTGAGTCCTTTGAGGACTATGTTGAAAAAGGAAATATGTTCATATGGAAACTAGACAGATGATTTATAGCAGCATGATTTATAGTCCTTTGGGTATATACCCAGTAATGGGATGGCTGGGTCAAATGGTACTTCCAGTTCTAGATCCCTGAGGAATCGCCACACTGACTTCCACAATGGTTGAACTAGTTTACAGTCCCACCAACAGTGTAAAAGTGTTCCTATTTCTCCACATCCTTTCCAGCACCTGTTGTTTCCTGACTTTTTAATGATTGCCATTCTATCTGGTGTGAGATGATATCTCATTGTGGTTTTGATTTGCATTTCTCTGATGGCCAATGATGATGAGCATTTTTTCATGTGTTTTTTGGCTGCATAAATGTCTTCTTTTGAGAAGTATCTCTTCATATCCTTCGCCCACTTTTTTATTTTTTATTTTTGTATTTTTTTTTTGAGACGGAGTCTCGCTCTGTCGCCCAGGCTGGAGTGCAGTGGCCCGATCTCGGCTCACTGCAAGCTCCGCCTCCCGGGTTCACGCCATTCTCCTGCCTCAGCCTCCCGAGTAGCTGGGACTACAGGCGCCCGCCACTGCGCCCAGCTAATTTTTTGTATTTTTAGTAGAGACGGGGTTTCACCGTGTTAGCCAGGATGGTCTCGATCTCCTGACCTCGTGATCTGCCCGCCTCGGCCTCCCAAAGTGCTGGGATTACAGGCGTGAGCCACCGCACCCGGCCCCTTCGCCCACTTTTTGATGGGGTTGTTTGTTTTTTTCTTGTAAATTTGTTTGAGTTCATTGTACATTCTGGATATTAACCCTTTGTCAGATGATTAGGTTGCGAAAATTTTCTCCCATTTTGTAGGTTGCCTGTTCACTCTGATGGTAGTTTCTTTCTTTTGCTGTGCAGAAGCTCTTTAGTTTAATTAGATCCCATGTGTCAATTTTGGCTTTTGTTGACATTGCTTTTGGTGATTTAGACATGAAGTCCTTGCCCATGCTTATGTCCTGAATGGTAATGCCTAGGTTTTCTTCCAGGGTTTTTATGGTTTTAGGTTTAATGTTTAAGTCTTTAATCCACCTTGAATTAATTTTTGTATAGGTGCAAGTAAGTGATCCAGTTTCAGCTTTCTACATATGGCTAGCCAGTTTTCCCAGCACCATTTATTAAATAGGGAATCCTTTCCCCATTGTTTGTTTTTCTCAGGTTTGTCAAAGATCAGATAGTTGTAGATATGTGGCATTATTTCTGAGGGCTCTGTTCTGTTCCATTGGTCTATATCTCTGTTTTGGTACCAGTACCATGCTGTTTTAGTTACTGGAGCCTTGTAGTATAGTTTGAAGTGAGGTAGCGTGATGCCTCCAGCTTTGTTCTTTTGGCTTAGGATTGACTTTGTGATGTGGGCTCTTTTTAGGTTCCATATGAACTTTAAAGTAGTTTTTTCCAATTCTGTGAAGTGTCTGTTCATATTGGTAGCTTGATGGGGATGGTATTGAATCTATAAGTTACCTTGGGCATTATGGCCATTTTCATGATATTGATTCTTCCTACCTGTGAGCAGGGAATGTTCTTCCATTTGTTTGTATCCTGTTTTATTTCATTGAGCAGTGGTTTGTAGTTCTCCTTGAAGAGGTCCTTCACGTCCCTTGTAAGTTGGATTCCTAGGTATTTTATTCTCTTTGAAGCAATTGTGAATGGGAGTTCACTCGTGATTTGGCTCTCTGTTTGTCTGTTATTGGTGTATAAGAATGCTTGTGATTTTTGTACATTGATTTTGTATCCTGAGACTTTGCTGAAGTTGCTTATTAGCTTAAGGAGATTTTGGGCTGAGACAATGGGGTATTCTAGATATACAATCATGTTATCTGCAAACAGGGACAATTTGACTTCCTCTTTTCCTAGTTGAATACCTTTTTATTTCCTTCTCCTGCCTAATTGCCCTGGCCAGAACTTCCAACACTCTGTTGAATAGGAGTGGTGAGAGAGGGCATCCCTGTCTTGTGTCCATTTTCAAAGGGAATGTTTCCAGTTTTTGCCCATTCAGTATGATATTGGCTGTGGGTTTGTCATAGATAGCTCTTATTATTTTGAGATATGTCCCATCAATACCTAATTTATTGAGAGTTTTTAGCATGCAGAGTTGTTGAATTTTGTCAAAGGCCTTTACTGCATCTATTGAGATAATCATGTGGTTTTTGTCTTTGGTTCTGTTTATATGCTGGATTACATTTATTGATTTGCATATATGGAACCAGCTTTGCATCCCAGAGATGAAACCCACCTGATCATGGTGGATAAGCTTTTTGATGTGCTGCTGGTTTCAGTTTGCCAGTATTTTATTGAAGATTTTTGCATCAATGTTCATCAAGGATATTGGTCTAAAATTCTCTTTTTTGGTTGTGTCTCTGTCTGGCTTTGGTTTCAGGATGACGCTGGCCTCCTAAAATGAGTTATGGAGGATTCCCTATTTTTCTATTGATTGGCATATTTTCCGAAGAAATGGTAGCAGTTCATCCTTGTACCTCTGGTAGAATTTGGCTGTGAATCCATCTGGTCCTGGACTGTTTTTGGTTGGGAAGTTATTGATTATTGCCACAATTTCAGCTTCTGTTATTGGTCTCTTCAGAGATTCAACTTCTTCTTGGTTTAGTCTTGGGAGAGTGTATGCATTGAGGAATTTATCCATTTCTTTTAGATTTTCTAGTTTATTTGCGTAGAGGTGTTTGTAGTATTCTCTGATGGTAGTTTGTATTTCTGTGGGATCAGTGGTGATATCCCCTTTATCACTTTTTATTGCATCTATTTGATTCTTCTCTCTTTTTTTCTTTATTCGTCTTGCTAGCAGTCTATCAGTTTTGTTAATCCTTTCAAAAAACCAGCTCCTGGATTCATTAATTTTTTGAAGGGTCTTTTTTGTCTCTATTTCCTTCAGTTCTGCTCTGATTTTAGTTACTTCTTGCCTTCTGCTAGCTTTTGAATGTGTTTGCTCTTGCTTTTCTAGTTCTTTTAATTGTGATGTTAGGGTGTCAATTTTGGATCTTTTCTGCTTTCTCTTGTGGGCATTTAGTGCTATAAATTTCCCTCTATACACTGCTTTGAATGTGTCCCAGAGATTCTGGTATGTTGTGTCTTTTTTCTCATTGGTTTCAAAGAACATCTTTATTTCTGCCTTCATTTCATTATGTATCCAGTAGTCTTTCCAGAGCAAGTTGTTCAGTTTCCATGTAGTTGAGTGGTTTTGAAAGGTTTTCACTCAAAATGCACTCAAAACCTTTCTTTTCATTGAGGAGTTTGGAAACAGTCTTTTTGTAGAATCTGTAAACGAATATTTGGAGCTTTTTGAGGCCTATGAAGGAAAAGGAAATATCTTCACAGGAAAAGTAGACAGAAGAATTATGGGAAACTGCTGTGTGATGTATGCATTCATCTCCCAGAGTTGAACCTTCCTTTTCATTGAGCGGTTTGGAAACAGTCTTTTTGTAGAGTCTGCATTAAGGTATTTGGAGTGCTTTGGGGCCTGTGGTGAATAAGGAAATATCTTCACAAAAAAACTATACTGAATCTTTCTGAGAAAATTATTTGTGAAGAGTGCATTCATCTCACGGAGTTCAACCTTTATTTTGATTGAGCAGTTTGGAAACAGTCTTTTTGTAGAATCTGCAAAGGGATAATAGGAGCATTTTAAGGCCTATGGTGTAAAAGGATATATCCTCAATGAAAAACTACACAGAGATTTTCTGAAAAACCTCTTTGTGATGTACGCATTCATCTCACAGAGTTCAACCCTTCCTTTGATGGAGCAGTTTGGAAACATAAACAGTCTTTTTGAAGAATCTACCAAGGGATATTTGGAGCCCTTTGGGGCCTATGGTGAAAAAGGAAATACCTTCACATAAAAACGAGACATAAGTTTTCTGAGAAACTTCTTTGTGATGTGTGCATTCATCTCCCAGAGTTGAACCTATCTTTTCATTGATCAGTTTGGAAACACTGTTTTTGTAGTATCTGCAAAGGGATATTTGGAGCACTTTGGGGCCTGTGATAAATAAGGAAATATCTTCACATAAAGGTAGGTGAAGTTTTCTGAGAAACTTCTTTGTTATGTATGCATTCACTTCATTGAGTTGAAATTTTCTTTCGATTGAGCAGTTTGGAGACAGTCTTTTTGTAGAATCTGCAAACGGATGTTTGTGAGCAGTTTTCACACACAAAACATAGGTTTTGGCCTATGGTGAAAAAGGAAATATCTTCGCACAGAAACATTCTGAGAAACTTGTTTGTGATGTGTGCATTCATCTCACAGAGTTGAACCTTTCTTTTTTTTGAGCAGTTTGGAAACCGTCTTTTTGTAGAATCTGTGAAGGGATATTTGTGATCACTTTGAGGCCTGTGTTGAAAAAGGAAATATCTTCACATTAAAACTAGACCGAAACTTTGTGAGAAACTTCTTTGTGATGTGTGCATTCGTCTCACAGAGTTGAAACTTTCTTTTAATAGAGCAGTTTGGAAACAGTCTGTTTGTAGAATATGCAAATTGATATTTGTGAGCGGTTTGAGGATTATTGTGAAAAAGGTAATATCTTCACATAAAAACTAGACAGAAGTCTTCTGAGAAACTTCTCTGTGTTGTGTGATTTCATCTCACAGTGTTGAAACTTTCTTTTGATTGATCAGTTTGGAAACAGTCTTGTTGTAGAATCTGCAAAGGGATATTGGAGCACTTTGAGGCCTGTGGTGAAAAAGGAAATATCTTCAAATAAAAACTAGACAGAGACTTTCTGAGAAACTTCTTTGTGATGTGTGCTTTCATCTCAGAGAGTTGCACCTTTGTTTTGATTAAGCAGTTTTGAAACCATCTTTTTGAAATATCTGCAAAGGGATACTTGTAGCAGTTTGAGGCGTATGGTTAAAAAGGAAATATCTTCACATAAAAAATAGACAGAATCTTTCTGGGAAAATTCTTTGTGATGTGTGCATTAGTCTCAAGGAGTTGAACCTTACTTTTGATTCAGCACTTGGAAACAGTCTTTCTGTAGATCTCCAGATGGATATTTCTGGAGTCCTTTGAGGTCTATGTTGATAAAGGAAATGTGTTCATATAAAAACTAGACAGTAGCTTTGTGAGAAACTTGTCTGTGTTGTGTGCTTTCATCTCACAGTGTTGAACCTTTCTTTTGATAGATCAGTTTGGAAACACTCCTTTTGTAGAATCTGCAAAGGGATATTGGAGCACTTTGAGGCCTCTGTTGAAAAAGAAAATATCTTCAAATAAAAACTAGACAGAAACTTTCTGAGAAACTTCTTTGTGATGTGTGCATTCATCTCACAGAGTTCAAACTTTCTTTTCATTGAGCAGTTTGGAAACAGTCTTTTTGTAGAGTCTGCAAATGGATATTTGGAGCGCCTTGAGGCCTATGGTGAAAAAGGAAATAGCTTCACATAAAAACTAGACATAAGGTTTCCGAATAACTTCTTTGTGATGTGTGCATTCATCTCACAGATTTCAACCTTTCCTTTCATTGAGCAGTTTGGAAACAGTCTTTCTGCAGAATCTGCAAGGGCATACTTGGAGCGCTTTGAGGACTATAGTGAATAAGGAAAATATTCGCAGAAAAACTAGACAGAAGCCTGCTGAGCAACTTTTTGTGATGTGTGCAGTCGTCTTTCAGAGCCGAAGCAGTTTTTTGATTGAGCAGTTTGATAACCGTGTTTTTGTAGAATCTGAAAAGGGATATTTGTGAGGCCTTTGTGGGCTACCGTGAGAAAGGAAATATCTTCATGTAAAAACTAGACATAAGCTTTCTGAGAAATTTTTTGTGATGTGTGCATTCATCTCACAGGGTTGAACCTTCCTTTTGATTTAGCATTTTGGAAATAGTCTTTTTGTGGAATCTGCAAAGGGATATTTAGAGTGCTTTGGGGCCTGTGGAAAATAAGGTAATATATTCACATGAAATATAGACAGAACTATTCTGATAAAATTCTTTGTGATGTGTGCATTCATCTCACAGAGTTAAAGATTTCCTTTGATTGAGGAGTTTGGAGGCTGTATTTTTGTAGAGTCTACAAAGGGATAACTGTGAGGGTTTTGGGGCCTATAGTTAAAAAGGAAATAGCTTCACATAAAAAGTAGAAAGAAGCATTCTGAGAAACTTCTTTGTGATATGTGCATTCATCTCAGAGAGTTGAACCTTTCTCTTGATTGAGGAGTTTGTAAGCAGTCTTTTTGTAGAATCTGAAAAGGGATATTTGTGAGCGGTCTGAGGCCTATGTTGAAAAAGGAAATATCTTCACATAAACACTAGAAAGAAGTTTTCTGAGGAACTTCTCTCTGTTGTGAGATTTCTTCTCACAGAGTTTAACATTTCTTTTGATTTATCAGTTTGGAAACAGTCTTTTTGAGAATCTGTGAATGGATATATGGAGCTCTTTGGGACAAATGGTGAAAAGGGAAATACCTCAACATAAAAACTAGAGAGAAGATTTCTGGGAAACTTCTTGTGATGTGTGGCTTCTTCTCGCAGAGCTGACCCTTTTATCTGATTGAACAGTTTGGAAACAGTCTTTTTGTAGAATCTGCGAAGGGATGTTTGTTGCTCTTTGGGGTGAATGGTGAAAAACAAAATATCTACACATAAAAACTAGACCAAACCTTTCTGAGAAACTTCTTTGTGATGTGTCCATTCATCTCCCAGAGTTCAACTTTTGCTTTCATTGAGCAGTTTGCAAACAGTCTTTTTGTAGAATCTGCAAATGGATATTTGGAGTGCTTTGTGGCCTGTGGTGAAAAAGGAAGATTCTTCACATAAAAGCTAGACAGAAGCTTTATGAGAAACTCCTTTGTGATGTGTGCATTCATCTCACAGAGTTGAATCTTTCTTTTCATTGAGCAGTTTGGAAACAGTCTTTTTGTAGAATCTGCAAAGGGATATTTGGAGTGCTTTGAGGCACGTGTTGAATAAGAAAAATCTTCACTTAAAAAATAGACAGGAATGTTCTGAGAAACTTCCTTGTCATGTGTGCTTTCATCTCACAGAGTTGAACCTTTCTTTTGGTTGAGCAGTTTGGAAACAGTCTTTTTGTAGAATCTGTAAATTGATATTCAGAGCAATTTGGGGCCCATGGATAGAAAGGAAATATCTCCACAAAAAAACTACACAGAAGCTTTCTCAGAAACTGCTTTGAGATGTGTGCATTCATCTCACAGAGTTGAGGCTTTTTTTTTGATTGAGCAGTTTGGAAACAGCCTTTTTGTAGGATCTGCCAAGGGATATTTGGGGCGCATTGAGGCCTATGGTGGAAAAGGAAATATCTTCACATAAAAAGTAGAAGAAGCTTTCAGAGAAACTACTCTGTGTTGCGTGCTTTCATCTCACAGAATTGAACTTTTCTTTGATTGATCAGTTTGGAAACACTCTTTTTGTAGAATCTTCAAAGGGATAATTGGAGGACTTTGTTGCCCACTGTGAAAATGTAAATATCTTCAAATAATAAGTAGACAGAAGGTTTTCGAGAAAACTCTGTGATGTGAGCATTCCTCTCACAGAGTTGAACCTTTGTTTTCATTAAGCATTTTGGAAAAGTCCTTTTTTATAATCTGCCAAGGGATATTTTTGAGCAGTTGGAGGCCTATGGTGAAAAAGGAAATATCTTCACATAAAAAATAGACAGAAGATTTTTGAGAAACTTCTTTTGATGTGTGCATTCATCTCAAACAGTTGAACCTATCTTTTGATTGAGTAGTTTGGAAGCAGACTTTTTGTAGAATCTGCCAAAGGGACATTTGTACCACATTGAGGTATATTGTGAAAATGAAATATCCTCATATAAAAACTAGACAGAATCTTTCTGAGAAACTTCTTAGTGAAGTGTGCATTCATCTCACAGAGTTCAACCTTTCTTGTCATTGAGCAGTTTGGAAACATTCTTTTTGTAGAATCTGCATATGGATATTTGGAGTGCTTTGAGACCTACAGTGAAATACAAAATATCTTCATATAAAAACTGGGGAGAAGCTTTCTGAGAAACTTCCTTGTGATGTGTGCTTTCATCTGATAGAGTTGAACGTTTCTTTTCATTGAGTAGTTTGAAACAGTCTTTTTGTAGAATCTGCAAAGGGATATTTGTGAGCGGTTTGAGGCTTATGGTGAAAAAGGAAATATCTTCCCATAAAAACTAGACAGAAGATTTTTGAGAAACTTCTTTGTGATGTTTGCATTCATCTCACGAAGTTGAAGCTTTCTTTTCACTGAGCAGTTTGGAAACAGTCTTCTTGTACAATCAGCAAAGGGATACTCCTGAGCATTTTGAGGCCTATGTTGAAAAGGAAATATCTTTAAATAAAAACTAGAGAGAAGCATTCTGAGAAAGTTCTTTGTGATGTGTGCATTCTTCTCACAGAGTTGAACCTTTCTTATGATTGAGCAGTTGGGAAACAGTCTTTTTGTAGGATCTGCAAAAGGATATTTGTGAGCAGTTTGAGTCCTATGGTGAAATAGAAAATATCTTCATATGAAAACTAGACAGAATCTTTCAGAGAAACTTCTTTGGAAATGAGCATTCATCTCACAGAGTTCAAACTTTCTTTTGATTGAGCAGTTTGGAAACAGTCCTTTTGTAAAATCAGCAAATGGATATTTGGAGCACTTTGAGGCCTACGTTGAAAAACGAAATATCTTCACATAAAAAATAGAAGCTTTCTGAGAAACTTCTTTTTGATGTGTGCATTCATCCCACAGGGTTGAACCTTTCTTTTGATTGTTCAGTTTGCAAACAGTCTTTGTGTAGAATCTGCAAAGCGATATTTGGGAGTGGTTTGAGGACTATGGTGAAAAAGGAAATATCTCCCCATAAAAACTAGACAGAAGATTTTTGAGAAACTTCTTCGTGATTTTTGCATTCACCTCACTGAGTTGAAACCTTTTTACTGAGCAGTTTGGAAACCGTCTTTTTGTACAATCGGCAAACGAATATTTCTGAGCGTTTTGAGGCCTATATTGGAAAGGACATATCTTCACATAAAAACTAGACAGAAGCATTCTCAGAAACTTCTTTGTGATGTGTGCATTCTTCTCACAGAGTTGAACATTTCTTATGATTGAGCAGTTTGGAAACAGTCTGTTTGTCGGATCTACAAAGGGATACTTGTGAGCAGTTTGAGGCCTGTGGTGAAATAGGAAATATCTTCACTTAAAAACTAGACAGAATTTTTCTGAGAAACTTCTTTGGGATGTGAGCATTCATCTCACAGAGTTGAACATTTATTTTGATTGAGCAGTTTGGAAACAGTCTTTTTGTAGAATCAGCAAATGGATATTTTGAGCATTTTGAGGCCTATGTTGAAAAAGCAAATATCTTCCCATAAAAACTAGACAGAAGATTTCTGCGAAATATCTTTGTGATGTGTACATTCATCTCACAGAGTTGAAAATTTCTTTTGTTTGAGCAGTTTGGAAACAGTCTTTCTGTAGAATCTGCAGAGGGATATTTGTGAGCCCATTGAGCCATATGTGATATACGAAATATCTTCACATTAAAACTAGACAGCAGGTTTCTGAGAAACTTCTTGGTGAAGTGTGCTTTCATCTCATTGTGATGAAGTTTTGTTTTGATTGACTGTTTGGAAACAGTCCATTTGTAGAATCTGCAAATGGGTATTTGCTGCACTATGTGGCCTACGGTGAAAAAGGAAATGTCTTTATTTAAGAACTAGACAGAAACTTCCTGAGAAACTTCTTTGTGATGTGTGCATACATCTCACAGAGTTGAACGTTTCTTTTGATTGAGCAGTTGGGAAACAGTCTTTTTGTAGAACCTGCAAATGGATATTTGTGAGCCCATTGAGTCCTGGGGTGAAATAGGAAATATCTTCATATAAAAACTAGGCAGAAGCATTCTGAGAAACTTCTTTGTGATGTCTGCTTTCACCTCATAGAGTTGAACGTTTGTTTTGATTGAGCATTTTGGAGACAGTCTTTTTTTATAATCTGCAGAAGGATTGCTGTGAGCAGTTTGAGGCCTATGGTGATAAAGGAGATATCCTCACATAAAAACAAGACAGAGGCATTCTGAGAAAGTTCTTTATGATGTGCACATTCATCTCACAGAGTTGAACTTTCTTTTGATTCAGTAGTTTAGAAATAGTTTTTTGTAGAATCTGCAAAGGGATATTTGTGTGCAGTTTGAGGACTATGGTGAAAAAGGAAATATCTTCTTATAAAAACTAGAGAGAAGATTGAGAAACTTCTTTGTGATGTTTCCATTCATCTCACTGAGTGGAAACGTTCTTTTCACTGAGCAGTTTGGAAACAGTCTTTTTGTACAATCGGCAAAGGGATATTTCTGAGCATTTTGAGGTCTACGTTGAAAAGGAAATATCTTCACATAAAAACTAGACAGAAGCATTTTGAGAAATTTCTTTGTGATGTGTGCATTCTTGTCAGAGTTGAACCTTTATTTTGATTGACCAGTGTAGAAACAGTCTTTTTGTAGAATCTGCAAAGGGATATTTGTGAGCCCTTTGAGGTCTGTTGTGAAATAGGAAATATCTTCACATAAAAACCAGAAAGAAGCCTTCAGAGAAACTTCAATGTAGTGAGTGCTTTCATCTCACAGAGTTGAACCTTTCTTTTGATTGAGCAGTTTTGAAAGAATCTTTTTGCCGAATCTACCAATGGATATTTGGAGCGCTTTAAGGCCTATGGTGAAAATGGATATATCTTCACATAAGAACTAGACAGAAGCATTTTGAGAAACTTCCTTGTGTTATTTGAATTCATCTCACACAGTTGAATCTTTCTTTTCATTGAGCAGCTAAGAAACAGTTTATTTTACAATCTGCAAATGGATACTTCTGAATAGTTTGGGGCATATGGTGAAAAAGAAATATCTTCATATAAAAACTAGACAGATGTATTTGGAGAAACTTCTTTGTGATGTGTTTATTCATCTCACAAAGTTGAACCTTTCTTTTGATAGAACATTTTGGAAACAGTCTTTTTGTAGAATCCACAAATTGATATTTAGAGTGCTTTGAGTCCTATTTCCAAACTGCTCAACCAAAGGAAAGGTTCAACTCTGTGAGATGAATGCAGACATCACAAATAAGTTTCTCAGAATGCTTCTGCCTAGTTTTAATGTGAAGATATTTTCTCTTTCACAGTAGGTGTAAAACTGCTCACAAACATCTGTCAGCAGATTCTAAAAAAAGACTGTTTCCATAATGTTCAATCAATAGAAATGTTCAAATCTGTGAGATGAATGCATACATCAGAAAGATGATTATCAGAAATCTTCTGTCTAGTTTTTATGTGAAGTTATTTCCTTTTTCACCACAGTCCTCAAAAAGCTCCAAATATCCATTTGCAGATTCTACAAAAAGACTGTTTCCAAACTGCTCAATCTAAAGAAAGGTTCAACTTTGTGAGATGAAAACACACATCACAAAGAAGTTTCTCAGAAAGTTTCTGTCCAGTTTTTATGTGAAGTTATTTCCTTTTTCACCATAGGCCTCAAAGCACTCCAAATATACATATGCAGATTCTACAAAAAGACTGTTTCCAAGCTGCTCCATCAAAAGAAATGTTCAACTCTGTGAGTTGAAGGCACACATCACAATGTAGTTTCTCAGAAAGCGTCTGTCTAGTTCTTATGTGAAGATATTTCCTATTTCACCATAGTCCTCTAGGGGTTTACTAATATTCCCTTGCAGATTCTACAAAAAGACTGTTTCCAAACTGCTCAATCAAAAGAAAGTTTCAAATGTGTCAGATGAATGCACACATCACAAAGAAGTTTCTCAGAATGATTCTGTCTAGTTTCATGTGAAGATATTTCCTTTTCACCATAGGCCTCAAAGAGCTCAGAAATATCCTTTTGCAGATTGTATAAAAATACTGTTTCCAAAGTACTCAATCAAAGGATAGGTTCAACTCTGTGAGATGAATGCACACATCACAAGGAAGTTTCTCAGAAAGCTTCTCTCGAGTTTTTATGTGAAGATATTTATTTTCACTGTAGGCCTCAAACCGCTAAGAAATATCTGTTTGCAGATTCTACAAAAAGACTGTTTCCAAAGTGGTCAAACAAAAGAAAGTCCAACTGTGTGAAATGAATGCCCACATCACAGAGAAGTTTCTCAGAATGCTTCTGTCTAGTTTTTATCTGAAGATATTTCATTTTTCACCATAGGCCTAAAATCACTGAAAAATATCCCCCTGCAGATACTACAAAAAGACTGTTTTGAAACTGCTCACTCAAAAGAAAGGCTCAACTCGGTGAGATGAAATCACACATCACAGAGAAGTTTCTCAGAATGCTTCTGTCTAGTATTTATGTGAAGATATTTGCTTTTTCACCATATGCCTCAAAGTGCTCACAAATATCCCTCTGCAGATTCTAAAGAAAGTTTCCAAACTGCTGAAGCAAAAGAAACGTTCAACTCTGTGTGATGAATGCACACATCACAAAGAAGTTTCTGACCAAGCTTCTGTATATTTTTTATGTGAAGATATTTCCTTTTTCACCGTAGGCCTCAAAGCACTCCAAATATCCACTTGCAGATTCTATAAAAAGACACTTTCCAAACTGCTCAATCAAAAGAAAGGTTCAACTCTCTGAGATGAAAGCACACATCACAAAGAAGTTTCTCAGAAAGGTTCTGTCTAGTTTTTCTGTGAATATATATATTTTTTTCACCATAGGCCTGAAACCGCTCAGAAATATCCCTTTGCAGATGTTACAAAAAGACTGTTTCCAAACTGTTCATTCAAAAGAAAGGGTCAGCTATGTAAGATGAATGCTCACATCACAAAGCAGTTTCTCAGAATGCTTCTGTCTGGTTTTTTTGTGAATATATATTTTTTTCACCATAGGCCTGAAACTGCTCAGAAATATCCCTTTTCAGATTATACAAAAAGACTGTTTCCAAACTGCTCATCCAAAAGAAAGGGTCAGCTATGTAAGATGAATGCTCACATCACAAAGCAGTTTCTCAGAATGCTTCTGTCTAGTTTTTATGTGAAGATATTCCTTTTGCACCATAGGCCTCAAACCACTCAGAAATATCCCTTTTCAGATTACACAAAAAGACTGTTTCCTAACTGCTCAATCAAAGGATATGTTGAACTCTGTGAGATGAATGCACACATCACAAAGAAGATTCTCAAAAACGGCTGTCTAGTTTTTATGTGAAGATATTTCCTTTTTCAACATAGGCCCCAAACTGCTCACAAATATCCCTTTGCAGATTGTACAAAAAGACGGTTTCCAAACTGCTCAATCAAAAGAAAGTTTCAACTCTGTGAGATGAATAAACAAATTACAAAGAGGTTTCTCAAAAAGCGTCTATCTGGTTTTTATGTGAAGATATTTCCTTTCTCACCAAAGGCCTCAAACCACTGACAAATATCACACAGCGGAATCTACCAGAAGACTGTTTCCAAACTGCTCAATCAAAAGAAAGTTTCAACTCTGTGACATGAATGCACACATCACAAAGCAGTTTCTCACAAAGCTTCAGTCTAGTTTTTATGTGAAGATATTTCCTTTTTCACTACAGGCCTCAAAGCTCTCCAAATATCAATTTGCAGATTCTACAAAAAGACTGTTTCCAAACTGCTCAATGAAAAGAAAGATTCAACTCTGTGAGATGAATGCACACATCATGAAGCAATTTCTCAAAATTCTTCTGCCTATTTTTTATGTGAAGATATTTCCATTTTCACCATAGGCCTCAAACCGCTCACAAACATCACTCTGCAAATTCTACAAAAGACTGTTTCCAACCTGCTCAATCAAAAGAAAGGTTTAACTCTGTGAGATGAATGCACACATCACAAAGAAGTTTCTCAAAAGGTTCTTTCTAGTTTCTATATGAAGATATTTCCTTTTTCACCATACGCCTCAAACTGCTACAAATATCCATTTGCAGATTCTACAAAAAGACTGTTTCCAAACTGCTCAATCAAAAGGAAGGTTCAACTCTGTAAGATGGAAGCAGATATGACAAAGAAGTTTCCCAGAAAGCTTCTGTCTAATTTTTATGCGAAGATATTTCCTATTTCACAATGGGCCTCAAACCTCTCAGTAATATCCCTTTGCAGATTGTACAAAAAGACGGTTTGCAAACTGCTCAATCAAAAGAAAGGTTCAACTCTGCAGATGAATGCCCACATAACAGAGTAGTTTTTCAGAAAGCTTCAGTCTAGTTTTCATGTGAAGATATTTTCTTTTTCAGCATACGCCTGAAAGAGCTCCAAACTTACAATTGCAGATTCCACAAAAGACTGTTTCCAAACTTCTCAATCAAAATAAAGTTTCAACTTAGTGAGACGAAAGGACACAAGACAAAGAAGTTCCTCAGAATGCTTCTGTCTAGTTTTTAGTGAAGATATTTCCTATTTCGCCACAGGCCTCATTGGGCTCCCAAATATCTCTTTGCAGATTCTTGAGAAAAGTGTTTCCAAACTGCTCAATCAAAAGAAAGGTTCAACTTTGTGAGATGAATGCACACATCAGAAAGTGGTTTCTCAGAATTATTCTGTCAAGTTTTTATATGAACATATTTGCATTTTCACCAAAGGACTAAAACCGCTCACAAATATCCCTCTGCAAAAACTACAAAAAGACTGTTTGCAAACAGCTCAATCAAAACAATGGTTCAACTCTGTGAGATGAATGCACACATGAAAAAGTAGTTTCTCAGAAAGCTTCTGTCTTGTTTTTATATGAAGATATTTCCTTTTTTAACCACAGGGCTCAGAGCGCTCCAAATATCAATTTGCAGATTCTACATAAAGACTGTTTCCAAACTGCTCAGGCAATAGAAAAGTTCAATTCTGTGAAATTAAAGCACACATCACAAAGAAGTTTCTCAGAAAGTTTCTGTGTAGTTTTTATGTGAAGATATTTCCTATTTCACCATAGGCCTCAATGGGCTCACAAATATCCCTTTGCAGATACCACATAAAACTGTTTCCAAACTGCTCAATCAAAAGAAAGTTTCAAGTCTTTGAGCTGAGTGCACACATCACAGAGAAGTTTCTCAGAGTGCTTCTGTCTAGTTTTTATGTGAAGATATTTCCTTTTTCAACATAGTTCTGAAACCACTCAAAAATATCCCTCTGCAAATTCCACAAAAAGGCTGTTTCCATATAGCTCAAACAAAATAAAATTTCACCTCAGTGAGATGCATGCACACATAAGAAAGAAGCTTCTCAGAAAGCTTCTGTCTAGTTTTTATGTGAAGATATTTCCTTTTTCACCATAGTGTTCGAAGTGCTCCAAATATCCATTTGCAGATTCTACAAAAGGAATGTTTCCAAGCTGCTCAGTTAAAATAAAGGTTCAATTATGTGAGATGAAAGCACACATCATAAGTTTCTCAGAAACATTATGTCTAGTATTTTTGTGAAGATACTTCTCATTTCAACATGAGCCTCAAAGGGCTTACAAATATCCCTTTGCAGATTCTACAAAAAATCTGTTTCCAAACTGATCAATCAACAGAAAGATTCAACTCTGTGAGATGAAAGCACACATCACAAAGAAGTTTCTCAGAATGCTTCTGTCTCGTTTTATGTGAAGATATTTCCTATTTCACCACAGGTCTTAATGGGGTCACAAATATCCCTTTACAGATTCTGGAAAAAACTGTTTCCAAACTGCGGAATCAAAAGAAATGTTCAACCTGTGAGATGCATGCACACATCACAAAACGGTTTCTCAGAATGCTTCTGTCTTCTTTTATGTGAAGATATTTCCATTTTCACCGTAGGCCTCAAATGGCTTCAAATATCCCTCTGCAAATTCTACAAAGAGACTGCTTCCAAACTGCTCAATCAAAAGAGAGATTCAACTCTGTGAGATGAATGCACACATCATAAAGAAGTTTCTCAGAAGCTTTTGTCTAGTTTTCGTTTGAAGATGATTCCTTTTTCACTGTAGGCCTCAAAGGGCTCCAAATAACCATTTGCAGATTCTTCAAAAAGACTGCTTCCAAACCACTCACTCCATAGAAATGTTCAACTATGTGAGATGACAGCACAAATCGCATAGAAGTTTCTCAGAAAGCTTCTGTTTAGTTTTTATGTGAAGATATTTTTTCCTTTTTCATCATAGGACTCAAATTGCCCAAACTATCCATTGGCAGATAGTTCCAAACGACTGTCTCCACACTGCTCAATCAAAAGAAAGGTTCAACTCTGTGAGATGAATGCACACATCACAAAGAAGGTTGTCAGAAAATTTCTGTCTATATTTTATATGAAGATATTTCCTTTTTCACCACAGGCATCATGGAGCTCCAAATATTCATTTGTAGATTCTACAAAAAGACTCTTTCCAAACTGCTCAATCAAAAGAATGGTTCAACACTGTGAGATGACAGCACACATCAAAAAGAAGTTTTTCAGAAAGCTTCCATCTAGTTTTTCTATGAAGATATTTCTTTTTTACCATAGGCCTCAAACTGCTCAGAATTATCACTTTGCAGATTGTACTAAAAGACTCTTTCCAAAAAGCTCCAACAAAAGAAAGGTTCAACTCTGTGAGATGAATGCACATATCACAAAGAAGTTTCTCAAAACCCATCTGTCTAGTATTTATGTGAAGATATTTCCTTTTCACAATAGGCCTCAATCCGCTCACATATAGCCCTGTCCAGAATCTACAAAAAGACTGTTCCCACATTGCTCAATCAACAGAAAGGTTCAAATCTGTGAGATGAATGCACACATGACAAGGAAGTTTCTCAGAAAGCTTCAGTCTAGTTTCTATGTGAAGATATTCCCTTTTTCAACATAGGCCTCAAATCGCTCCAAATATCAATTTGCAAGTTATACAAAAAGACTGTTTCCAAACTTCTCATTGAAAAGAAAGTTTCACCTCTTTCAGTTGAAAGCACACATCATGAAGAAGTTTCTCAGAATGCTTCGGTATAGTTTTTATGTGAAGCTGTTTCCTATTTCACCATAGGACTCAATGGGGTCACAAATATCCCTTTGCAGATTCTACAAAAAACAGTTTCCAAACTGCTCTATCAAAAGAAAGGTGCAACTCCGTGAGATGAATGCACACATCACAAAGAAGCTTTTCAGAATGCTTCTTTCTAGTTTTTATGTGAAGATATTTCCATTTTCAACATAGGCCTCAAAGCACTCACAAATATCCTACTGCAAATTTTACAAAGAGACTGTTTGCAAACTGCTCAATCAAAATAAAGATTCCACTCTGAGAGATGAATGCACGCACCACAAAGAAGTTTCTCATAAACATTCTGTCTACTTTTTATGTGAAGATATTGCCTGTTTCATCATAAGACTCGCTGGGCTCACAAATATCCGTTTGCAGATTCTACAAGAAGACTGTCTCCAAACTGCTCAATGAAAAGAAAGATTCAAGTCTGTGAGATGAAAGCACACATCCCAGTGAAGTTTCTCAGAAAGCTTCTGTCTAGTTTTGATGTGAAGATATTTCCTATTTCAACGTAGGCCTCAAAGCACCCCAAATATCCATTTGCAGATTCTACCAAAAGACTGTTTCCAAACTGCTCAATCAAAAGAAAGATTCAGCTGTTTGAGATGAAAGGACACAAAAATGTTTCTCAGAAAGTTTCTGTCTACTTTTTATGTGAAGATATTTTCTATTTCACCATAGGCCTCAATAGGCTCACAAATATCCCGTTGTAGATTCTACAAAAAGTCTGTTTCCAAACTGCTCAAGAAAAAGAAAGGTTCAACTCTGTGAGATGAATGCACACATCGCAAACAAGTTTCTCAGAGAGCTTCTGTCTAGTTTTTATATGAATATATTTCCTTTTTCACCATAGGCCTGAAAGCACTCCAAATATCCATTTGCAGATTCCACAAAAAGACTTTTTCCAAACTGCTCAATCGAAAGAAAGTTCTATCTTTGTGAGATGAATGCACACATCACAAAGAAGTTTCTCACAAATCTTCCCTTTCGTTTTTATGTGAAGATATCTCCTTTTTCACCATGGGCCTTAAAGTGCTCCAAATATCCATTTGCAGATTCTACAAAAGACTGTTTCCTAACTGCTCAATCAAAAGAATGGTTCAACACTTTGAGGTGAATGCACACATCACAAAGAAGTTTCTGAGAAATCTTCTGTCTGCTTTTTATGTGAAGACATTTTCTTTTTCACCATAGGCCTCAAATTGCTGCCAATATCCATTTACAGATTCTACAAAAAGACTCTTTCCAAATGGCTTAATGAAAAGAAAGTTTCAACTCTGTGAGGTGAATGCACACATCACAATGATGTTTCTCAGAAACCTTCCATTAATTTTTACGTGAAGATAGTTCCTTTTTCACCATAGGCCTCAAAGCGCTCCAAGTATCTATTTGCAGATTCCACCAAAATACTTTTTCTAAACTGCTCAATCAAAAGAATGGTTCAACTCTGTGAGATGAATGTGCACATCACAAAGATGTTTCTCAGAAATCTTCTGTCTATTTTTTTATGTGAAGAAATTTCCTTTTTCACTATAGGCCTCAAAATGCTCCAAATGTCCATTTGAAGGTTCTACAAAAGACTGTTTCCAAACAGATCAAGCAAAAGGAAGGTTCAACTCTGTGAGATGAATGCACACATCACAAAGAAGTTACTCAGGAATCTTCTATTTAGTTTTTATGTGAAGATATTCCCTTTTTCACCATAGGCCTCAAAGTGCTCCAAATATTCTCCTGCAGATACTACAAAAACACTGTTTGCAAACTGCTCAGTCAAAAGAAATGTCAACTCTGTGAGAGGAATGCACACGTCACAAAGAAGTTTCTCAGAAAGATTCTGTCTAGTTTTTATGTGAAGATATTTCCTTTTTTACCATAGGCCACAAAGCGCTCCAAGTAGCCGTCTGCAGATTCCGCAAAAAGACTGTTTCCAAACTGCTCAATCAAAGGAAAGGGTGAACTCTGTGAGATGGAAGCTCTCTTCACAAAGAATTTTCTCAGAAATCTTCTGTATAGTTTTTATGTGAAGATATTTCCTTTTTCACCATAGGCCTCAAACTGCTCTGAAATATCCCGTTTCAGATTGTATAAAAAGACTTTTTCTAAACTACTCAATCAAAAGAGAGTTTCAACTATGTAAGATGAATGAACACATGACAAAGAAGTTTCTCAAAAAACGTCAGTCTAGTTTTTATGTGAAGATATTTCCTTTTTCACCATAGGCCTCACACCACTCACAAATATCCCTCTGCAGAAACTTCAAAAAGACTGCTTCCATGCTGCTCAATCAAAAGAAATTTTCAACTCTGTGAGATGAATGCAGACATCACAAAGAAGTTTCTGAGAAAGCTTCTGTCTAGTTTTTATGTGAAGATATTTCCTTTTTCACTATAGGCCTCAATGTGCTCCAAAAATCCATTTGCAGATTCTACAAGAAGATTCTTTCCAAACTTCTCTCTCAAAAGAAAGGTTCAACTTTGTGAAATGAAAGCACACATCAGAAATAAGTTTCTCAGAATGCTTCTGTATTGTTTTGATGTGAAGATATTTCCTATTTCATCATAAGCCTCAATAGGCTCAACAATATACTTTGCAGATTCCACAAAAAACTGTTTCCAAACTGCTCAATCAAAACAAAGTTTCAACTCTGGGAGATGAAAGAACACATCACAAAGAAGTTTCTCAGAATGCTTCTGTCTCGTTTTAATCTGAAGGTATTTCTTATTTCACCATGGGCCTCAAAGGGGTCAAAATTATCCCTTTGCAGATTCCACAAAAAACTGTTTCCAAACTGCTCAATCAAAAGAAAGCTTCAACTCTGTGAGATAAATGCACACATCACAAAGCAGTTCTTCAGAATGCTTCTGTCTAGTTTTTATGAGAAGATATTTCCATTTTCACCAGAGGCCTCAAACAGCTCACAAATATCCCTCTGAAAATTCCACAAAAAGACTGTTTCCAAACTGCTCAATCAAAAGAAAAGTTCAACTCTGTGAGCTGAAAGCAAACATCACCAAGAAGTTTCTCAGAAATCTTCTGTTTAGTTTTCATGTGAAGATATTTCCTTTTTCACCACAGGCCTCAAAGTGCTCAAAATACACTTTTGCAGATTCTACAAAAAGACTGTTTCAAAACTGCTCAATCAAAAGAAAGTTTCAACTGTGTTAGATGAAATCACACATCACAAATAAGTTTCTCAGAATGCCTCTGTATAGTTTCTATTTGAAGACACTTCCTACCACCTAATAGGTCTCAATAGGCTCAACAATATACTTTGCAGATTCCACAAAAAACTGTTTCCAATCTGCTCAATCAAAAGAAAGGTTCAACTGTGTGAGATGAAACCACACATCACAAAGCAGTTTCTCAGCATGCTTCTCTCTAATTTTAATCTGGAGATATTTCCTATTTCAACATAGGCCTCAATGGGGTCACTAATATCCCTTTGCAGATTCCACAATAAACTGTTTCCAAGCTGCTCAGTTGAAAGAAAGGTTCAACTGTGTGACATGAATGTACACATCACAAAGCAGTTTCTCAGAATGTTTCTGTCTATTTTTTATGTGAAGATATATCATTTTCACCATAGGACTCAAACCGCTCACAAATATCTCTCTGCAGATTATAAAAAGACTGTTTCCAAAATGCTCAATCAAAAGACAAGTTCGACTCTGTGAGCTGAATGCACGCATCACAAAGAAGTTTCTCAGAAAGCTTCTGTCTAGTTTTCATGTGAAGATATTTCCATTTTCACCATAGGCCTCAAACAGCTCACAAATATCCTCTGCAAATTCTACAAAAAGACTGTTTCCAAACAGCTCAATCAAAAGAAAGTTTCAACTCCGTGAGATGAAAGCAAACATCACAAAGAAGTTTCTCAGAAATCTTCTGTTGTGTTTTTATGTGAAGATATTACCTTTTTCACCAGAGGCCTCAAAGTGCTCCAAATATCCATTTGCAGATTCTACAAAAAGACTGTTTCCCAACTGCTCAGTCAAAAGAAAGGTTCAACTATGTGAGATGAAATCACACATCACAAAGAACTTTCTCAGAAAACTTCTGTCTAGTTTTTATGTGAAGATATTTCCTATTTCACCACGTGCCTTAAACCTCTCAGAAATAGAACTTTGCAGATTCTACAAAAAGACTGTTTCCAAACTGCTCAATCCAAAGAAATGTTCAACTCTGTCAGATGAAAGCGCACATCACAAAGAAGTTTCTCAAAAAGCATCTGTCTAGTGTTTATGTGAATATATTTCCTTTTTCACCATAGGCCTCAAACCGCCCACAAATATCCCTCTGTGGAATCTACAAAAAGATTGTTTCCAAACTGCTCCATCAAAAAGAAAGGTTCAAATATTTGAGAAGAATGCACACAACACTAAGAGGTTTCTCAGAAAGTTTCTGTCCAGTTTTTATGTGATGATATTTCCTTTTTCACCAAACGCCTCAAACCACTCACAATTATCCCCCAGCATATTCCACAAAAACACTGTTTCCAAACTGCTTAATGAATAGAAAGGTTCAAATCTTTGAGATGAATGCACACTTCACAAAGAAGTTTCTCTAAATGCTTCTGTCTAGCTTTTATGAGATGATAATTCCCATTTTACAACAGTCCTCAATGGATCGCAAATATCCGTTTGCGGATTCTACAAAACAGTGATCCAAAACCACTCTATCAAAAGAGAGGTTCAACTCTGTGAGACGAATGCACACATTGCAAAGCAGTTTCTCAGAGTGCTTGTGTCTAGTTGTTATGTGAAGATATTTCCATTTTCACTATAGTCCTCAAAAGGCTCACAATTATCCCTCTGCAAATTCTACAAAAAGTCTGTTTCCAAACTGCTCAATCAAAAGAAAGGTTCAAATCTGTGAGATGAATGCACACATCACAAAACAGTTTCTCTGAAAGCTTCTGTGTAGTTTTTATGTGAAGATATTTCCTTTATCACCATAGGCCTCAAACTGCTCACAAATATACTTCTGAAGAATCTACAAAAAGTCTGCTTCCTAACCTCTCAATCAAAAGAATCGTTCAACTCTGTGAGATGAATGCACACATCACAAAGAAGTTTCTCAGAAAACTTCAGTCTAGTTTTTATGTGAAGATATTTCCTTTTTTACTGTAGGCACAAAAGCGCTCCAAATATCCTTTTGCAGATTCCATAAAAAGGCTGTTTCCAAACTGATCAATCCAAAGAAATGGTCAACTCCATTAGATGAATGCACGCATCACAAAGAAGTTCCTCAGAAAACTGCTGTCTAGTTTTTATGTGAAGATATTTCCTTTTTCACCATAGGCTTCAAAACGCTCCAAATATCCATTTGCAGATTCTACAAAAATTCTGTTTCCAAACTGATCAATCAAAAGAAAAGTTCAACTCTGTGAGATGAAACCACACATCACAAAGAGTTTTGTCAAAAACTTCTGTCTAGTTTTTATGAGAAGATATTCGTTTTTCACCATAGGCCTCAAATCGCTCAGAAATATCCCTTTTCATATTGTAGAAAAACACTGTTTCCAAATTCCTCAATCAAAAGAAAGGTTCACCTCTGTGAGATGAATGCACACATCACAAAGAAGTTTCTCAAAAAGCATCTGTCTAGTTTTCATGCGAAGATATTTCCTATTTCTCCATGGGCCTCAAACCACACAGAAATATTGTTTTGCAGATTGTACTAAAAGACTGTTTCCAAACTGCTCAATCTAAAGAAAGGTTCAACTCTGTGAGATGAACGCACACATCACAAAGAAGTTTCTCAAAAACCATCTGTCTAGTTTTAATGTGAAGATATTCCCTATTTCACCATAGGCCTCTAACTGCTCACAAATATCACTCTGCAGAATCTACAAAAGAATGTTTCCATAGTGCTCAATCAAAAGAAAGTTTTATCTCTGTGAGATGAAAGCACACATCACAAAGAAGTTTCTCAGAAAGTTTCTGTCTAGTTTTTATGTGAAGATATTTCCTATTTCCCCATAGGCCTCAATGGGCTCACAAATATCCCTTTGCCGATTCTATAAAACGACTGTTTCCATACTGTTCAATCAAAAGAAAGTTTCAGCTGTGTGAGATGAAGGTAGAAGTCAAAAAGCAGTTTCTCAGAATGTTTCTTTCTACTTTTTATGTGAAGATATTTCCTGTTTTACCATAGGCCTCAAACCGCTCAGAAATATCCATCTGCAGAATCTAAAAAAAGACTGATTCCAAACTGTTCAATTAAAAGAAAAGTTCAACTCTGTGAGATGAATGCAAACATCACAAAGAAGTTTCTCAGAAAGCTTCAGTCTAGTGTTTATATGAAGATGTTTCCTTTTTCACCATAGGCCTCAATGCACCCCAGATATCCATTTGCAGTTCTACAAAAAGATTGTTTCCAAACTTATCTATCAAAAGAAAGGTTCAAGTCTGTGAGACTAAAGCACGCATCACAAAGATGTTTCTCCCAATGCTTATGTCTAGTTTTTATTTGAAGATATTTCATATTTGAAGATATTTCCTATCATAGGCCTCAATGGGTTCACAAATATCCCTTTGTAGATTCTACAAAGACCTGTTTACAAACTGCTGAAACAAAAGAAAGTTTCAGCTTTGTGAGATGAATGCACACGTCACAAAGCAGTTTCTTAGAATCCTTCTGTCTAATTTTTATGTGAAGATATTTCCTATTTCACTATAGGCCTCAAAGCGCTCCAAATATACACTCGCAGATTCTACAAAAAGACTGTTTCCAAACTGCTCAATCAAAAGAAATGTTCGAATCTGTGAGATGAAAGCACAAATCACAAAGAATTTTCTCAGAATGCTTCTTTCTAGTTTTTATGTCCAGATATTTCCTTTTTTACCATAGGCCTCAATGGACTCAAAAATATCCCTTGGCAGATTCCACAAAGAACTGTGTCCAGACTGCTCAATCAAAGGAAAGATTCAACTCTGGGAGATGAATGCACACATAACAAAGAAGTTTCTCAGAATACTTCTGTCTAATTTTCATGTGAAGGTGTTTCTTTTTCACTATAGACCTCAAATTGCTCAGAAATATCCCTTTGCAGATTGTACAAAAAGACTGTTTCCAAACTGTTCAATCAAAAGAAAGGCTCAACTCTGTGAGATGAATGCACGCATCACAAAGAAGTTTCTCAGAAACCTTCAGTCTAGTTTTTATGTGAATGTATTTCCTTTTTCACCAGAGGCGTCAAAGCACTCCAAATATCCAATTGCAGATTCTACAAAAAGACTGTTTCCAAACTGCTCAAAGGAAAGATTCAACTCTGTGAGATGAATGCACACATCCCAACGAAGTTTCTCAGAAAGCTTCTGTATAGTTTTTATGTGAAGATATTTCCTATTTCACCATAGGATGCAATAGGGTCACAAATATCCCTTTGCAGATTCCAGAAAAAACTGTTTCCGAACTGTTCAATCAAAATAAAGTTTCAACTCTGTGAGATGAATGCACTCATCACAAAGCAGCTTCTTAGAATGCTTCTGTCTAGTTTTTATGTGAAGACATTTCCATTTTCACCACAGGCCTCAAACTGCTCAAAAATATTCCTCTGCAGATTATGAAAAAAGACTGTTTATAAGCTGCTCAATAAAAAGAAAGTTTCAACTCTGTAAGATGAATGCACACATCATACAGAACTTTCTAGAAAGCATCTGCCTAGTTTTTAAATGAAGATAATTTCATATTCACCATAGGCCTCAAACCGCTCACAAATATCCCTCTGCAGAATCTACAAAAGACTGTTTCCAAACTGCTCAATCAAAAGAAAGTTTCAACTGTTTGAGGTGAAAGTACACATCACAAAGCAGTTTCCCAAAAAGTTTCTGTCTAGTTTTTATGTGAAGATATTTCCTTTTTCACCATATGCCTCAAAGTGCTTCAAACATCCATTTGTGTATTCTACACAAACACTGTTTCCAAACTTCTCAATTAAAAGAAATGCTCAACTCTGTGAGATGAAAGCACACATCACAAAGAAGTTTCTCAGAATGCTTCTGTCTAGTTTTTATGTGAAGATATTTCTTATTTCACCAGAGGCCTCAAAGGGGTCACAAATATCCGTTTGCAAATTCTACAATAATTGTTTCTAAACTGCTCAATCAAAAGAAAGCTTGAACTCTGTGAGATGCATGTGCACATCACAAAGAAGTTTCTCAAAAAGCCTCTGTCTAGTTTTTATGTTAAGATATTTCCTTTTTCAACATAGGCCTCAAACTGCTCACAAATGTCCCACTGTATATTCTACAAAAAGACTGCCTCTAATCTTCTCAATCAAAAGGAAGGTTCAACTCTGTGAGATGAAACATACATCGCAAAGCAGTTTCTTAGAGTGTTTCTGTCTAGTTTTTATGTGAATATATTTCTTATTTCACTGTAGGCCTTAAAGGCTCACAGATATCCCTTTGCAGATTCCATAAAAAACTGTTTCCAAACTGCTCATTTCAATGAAAAGTTCAACTCTGTGTGATGAATGCACTCATCATAAAAAACATTCTCAGAAAGCTTCTGTCTAATTTTTATGTGAAGATATTTCCTTTTTCACCATGCACCTGAAAGTGCTCCAAATACCCCTTGGAAGTTTCTACAAAAAGACTGTCTCCAAACTGCTCTATCGAAAGAAAAGTTCAAGCCTGTGAGATGAAAGCACACGTCACAAAGAAGTTTCTCAGAAATCTAATGTCTAGTTTTTATGTGAAGATATTTCTTTTTTCACCATAGGCATTGAAGGGCTCAAAAATATCCCTTTGTAGATTCTACAAAAAGACTGTTTCCAAACTGCTCAATCAAAATAAAGGTTCAAATCAGTGAGATGAAAGAACACATCACCAAGAATTTTCTCAGAAAGCTTCTGTCTAGTTTCTATGTGATGATATTTCCTTTTCCACTATGGGACTCAAAGGGCTCACAAATATCCTCTTGCAGATTCTACAAAAAGACTGTTTCCAAACTGCTCAATCGAAGGAAAGGTTCAATTCTGTGAGATGAAAGCACACGTCACAAAGAACTTTCTCAGAAATCTCCTGTCTAGTTTTTATGTGAAGACATTTCCTTTTCCACCATAGTCCTCAAAGCGCTCCAAATATCACTTGGCAGATTCTACAAAAAGTGTGATTCGAAACTCCTCAATCAAAATAAGGGTTCAACTCCTTGAGATGAGTGCACACATCACAAAGATGTTTCCAAAAAGCTTCTGTCTATTTTTTATGTGAAGATATTTCCTTTTTCACCGTAGGCCTCAAAGGGCTCCAAATATCTCTCTGCAGATCTACAAAAAGACTGTATTCAAACTGCTCAATCAAAGGAAATGTTCAAATCTGTTGAGATGAATGCACACATCACAAACATGTTTCTCAGAATGATTTTGTCTAGTTTTTCTATGAAGATATTTCCTTTTTCACTATAGGCCTCAAAGTGCTCACAAGGATCCCTTTGCAGACTCTACAGTAGATGGTTTCAAAGCTGATCAGTCCAAAGAAAGGTTCTAATCTGTGGCATGAATGCACACATCACAAAGAAGTTTCTCAGAAATGTTCTGTCTGCTTTTGATTCGAAGATATTTCCTTTGTCACCATAGGCCTCAAACACTCACAAATATCCCTTTGCAGATTCTACAAAAGACAATTTCAAAACTGCTCAATCAAAAGAAAGGTTCTAATCTGTGACATGAATGCACAAATCCAAAGAACTTTCTCAGAAAGCTTCTGTCTGTTTTTTTGTTGAAGATATTTACTTTTTCAGCATAGGCCTCAATGCGCTCCAAATGTTCCTTCACAGATTATACAAAAAGACTGTTTCAAAACTGCTCAATTAAAAGAAACGTTCAACTGTGTGAAATGAATGCACATATCACAGAGAAGTTTCACAAAAAGCTTCTGTCTAGTTTTTATTTGGAGATATTTCCTTTTTCACCACAGGCTTCAAACCACTCAGAAATATCCCTTGGCAGATCATATGAAAAGACTGTTTCCAAACTGCTCATTCAAAAACAGGTTCAACTCTGTGAGATGAATGCTCACATCACAAAGAAGTTTCTCAGAATGCTTCTTACTAGTTTTTATGTGAAGCTATTGCCTTTTTCAACATAGACCTCAAAGAGTTCACAAATATTCCTTTACAGATACTACAAAAAGACTGTTTCCTAACTGCTCAAAGGAAATATTCAACTCTGTGAGATGAAAGCACACATCTCAAAGAAATTTCTCAGAAATCTTCTGTCTAGTTTTTATTTGAAGATATTTCCTTTCACACCACAGTCCTCAAAGTTCTCCAAGTATCCCTTTGCAGATCCTACAAAAAAACTGTTTCCAAACTGCTCAATCAAAGAAAGGTTCAACCCTGTGAGATGAAAGCAAACATTAGAAAGGAGTTTCTCAGAAAGCTTCTGTCTTGTTTCTATGTGAAGATATTTCCTATTTCACCATGGGCCTCAAAGGACTCACAAATATCCCTTTGCAGATACTACAAAAAGACTGTTTCCAAACTGCACAATCAAAAGAAAGTTTCACCTCTGTGAGATGAAAGCACATATCACAAAGATGTTTCTCAGAAAGCTTCTGTCTAGTTTTATTTGAAGATATTTCCTTTTTCACCCTAGGCCTCAAACCGCTCATGTATATCCCATTGGAGATTCTACAAAACCAGTATATCCAAACTTATCATTCAATACAAAGGTTCAACTCTATGATATGAAAGCCCACATCACAAAGTAGTTTCTCAGAAAGCTTCTGTCTGGATTTTATATGAATATATTTCCTTTTTCACCATAGGCCTCAAAGTGATCACAAATATCCCATTGCAGATTCTACAAAAAGACTTTTTCCAAGCAGACCAATCAAAAGAAAGTGTCAATTCTATGAGATGAATGCACGCATCACAAAGAAGTTTCTCAGAAAAATTCTGTCTCGTTTTTACATGAAGATATTTCCTTTTTCATCATAGGCATCAAAGCGATCACAAATATCCATTTCAGATTCAACAAAGACTTTTTTTACAATCTCCAAAGGGTTATTTCTGAGCAGTTTGAAGCCTATGGTGAAAAAGTAATATCTTCACATAAAAACAATACAGAAGCTTTCTGACAAACTTCTGTGTGATGTGTGCTTTCAACTCACAGAGTTGAACCTTTCTTTTGATTGAGCAGTTAGGAAACAGTTTTTGGTAGAATATGCATTGGATATTTGGAGAGCTTTGAGACCTATGGTGAAAAAGGAAATATCTTCACATAAAAACTAGACAGAAACTTTCTGAGAAACTTCTCTGTGATGTGTGCATTCATCTCAAAGTGTTGAAACTTTCTTTTGATTGAGGACTTTGGAAACAGTCTTTTGTAGAATCTGCAGAGGGATATATGTGAGCCCATTGAGGCCTATGGTTAAATAGGAAATATCTTCACATAAGAACTACAAAGAAGCTTTCTGAGAAACTTCTTCATGATGTGTGATTACACCTTATAGGGTTAAACTTTTCTTTTGATTGAGCAGATTGGAAACGGTCTTTTTTTATAATGTGGAGAGGGATATTTTTGAGCGGTTCGAGGCCTGTGGTGAAAAAGGAAATATCTTCAAATAAAAACTAGACAGAGGCATTCTGAGAAACTTCTTTGTGAGGTGTGCATTCATCTCACAGAGTTTAACTTTTCATTTGATTGAGCAGTTTGGAAAAACTCTTTTTGTAGTATCTTCAAATGGATATTTGGAGTGCTTTGAGGCCTATGGTGAAAAAGGAAATATCTTCACATGAAAATTAGACAGAAGCATTCTGAGAAGCTTATTTGTGATGTGTGCTTTCATCTCACAGAGTTGGGCCTTTCTTTTCATTGAGCAGTTTGGAAACAGTCTTTTTGTAGAATCTGCAAATGGATATTTGCATCGCTTTGAGGCCTATGGTGAAAAAGGAAATATCTTCACATAAAACCTAGAGAGAAACTTTCTGGGAAACTGCTTTGTGATGTGTGCTTTCATCTCACTGAGTTAAACCTTTCTTTTGATTGAGTAGTTTTGAAACAGACCTTTTGTTGTTTCTGCAGAGGGATATTTTTGAGTAGCTTGAGTCCTGTGGGGAAAAAGGAAATATATTCACATAAAAACTAGACAGACACTTTTTGACAAACTTCTTTGTGATGTGTGCATTCATCTCCGAGAGTTGAACCTTTCTTTTGATTTAGCAGTTTGGAAACAGTCTTTTTTTAGATTCTGCAGAGGGGTATTTTTTTTTTTTGTTTGTTTGTTTCTTGTTTCTTTTTTTTTATTATACTTTAAGTTTTAGGGTACATGTGCACATTGTGCAGGTTAGTTACATATGTATACATGTGCCATGCTGGTGCGCTGCACCCACTAACTCGTCATCTAGCATTAGGTGTATCTTCCAATGCTATCCCTCCCCCCTCCCCCCCACCACAGTCCCAAGAGTGTGATATTCCCCTTCCTGTGTCCATGTGATCTCATTGTTCAAAGGGCTAATATCCAGAATCTACAATGAACTCAAACAAATTTACAAGAAAAAAACAAACAACCCCATCAAAAAGTGGGCGAAGGACATGAACAGACACCTCTCAAAAGAAGACATTTATGCAGCCAAAAAACACATGAAAAAATGCTCATCATCACTAGCCATCAGAGAAATGCAAATCAAAACCACGATGAGATACCATCTCACACCAGTTAGAATGGCAATCATTAAAAAGTCAGGAAACAACAGGTGCTGGAGAGGATGGGGAGAAATAGGAACACTTTTACACTGTTGGTGTAGAGGGGTATTTTTAAGTGGTTTGAGGCCTATGGTGAAAAATAAATATTTTCACATAAAAACTAGACAGAAGCATTATGAGAAAATTCTTTGTGATGTGTGCATTCATCTCACAGAGTTGAAACGTTCTTTGGATTGAACATTTTAGTAACAGTCTTTTTTATAATCTGCAGTGGGATATTTGTGAGCAGTTTGAGGCCTATGGTGAAAATGGAAATATTTTCACATAAAAACTAGACAGAAGCATTATGAGAAACTGCTTTCTGACGTGTGCATTCATCTCACACAGTTGATCCTTTCTTTTGATTAAGCAGTTTGGAAACAGTGTTTTCTGGAATCTGCAAAGGGATATTTGTGAGTCCTTTGAGGATTATGATGAAATGGGAAATATCTTCCCATAGAAACTAGACAGAAGCATTCTGAGAAACTCCTTTGTGATGTGTGCTTTCACTTCACAGAGTTGAACCTTTCTTTTGATGGAGAAATTTGGAAACAGTCTTTTTGTATAATCTGCAAATGGATAATTGGAGTGTTTTTAGGCCTATGGTGAAAAAGGAAATATCTTCACATAAAAACTAGACAGAAGCTTTCTGAGAAACTTCTTTAGATGTGTGCATTTATCTCAAAGAGTTGAACCTTTCTTTTGATTGAGCAATTTGGAATCAGTCTTTTTGTAGTTTCCGCATAGGGATATTTTTCTGTGGTTTGAGACCTATGGTGAAAATTGAAAAATCTGCACATAAAAACTATACAGAAGCTTTCTGATAAAATTGTTTGTGATGCATGCCTTTATCTCACAGAATTACACCTTTCTTTTGATTGAGCAATTTGGAAACAGTCTTTTTATAGAGTCTGCAAATGGATATTTGGAGTGCTTTGAGGCCTATGGTGAAAAAGGAAATATTTTCACATAAAAAATAGACAGAAGCTTTCTGAGAAACTTATTTGTGATGTTTGCATTCATCTCACAGAGTTGAACCTTTCTTTTAATTGAACAGTTTGGAATCAGTCTTTTTGTAGATTATGCAGATGGATGTTTCTGAGCGGTATGAGGCCTATGGTGAAACAGGAAATATGTTCACATAAAAAGTAGAGTGACGCTTTTTGGGAAATATCTTTTTGATGTGTGCATTCATCTCACAGAGTTGCAAAATCTACAATGGGATATTTCTGAGCATTTTGAGGCTTATGGTGAAAAAGAAATAGCTTCACATAAAAACTAGACAGAAGCATTCTGAGAAACTTCTTTATGATGTTTGCATTCATATCACACTGTTGAAATTTGTTTGGATTGAGCAGTTTACAAACAGTATTTTTGGAGAACGTGCAAATGTATATTTGTGAGCCCATTGAGGCCTGTGGTGAAATAGGAAATATCTTCACATAAGAACTAGTCAGAAGCTTTCTGAGAAACTTCTTTGTGCTGTGTGCTTTCATCTCACAGAGTTGAACCTTTCTTTCAATTGAGCATTTTGGAAACTCTTTTCTTATAACCTGCAGTGAGATATTGGTGAGCAGTATGACATCTATGGTGAAAATTGAAATATCTTCACATAAAAACTAGAAAGAAACATTCTGAGAAACTTATTTGTGATGTGTGCATTCATCTCACAAAGTTGAAACTTTCTTTTGATTGAGCAATTTGGAAACAGTCTTATGGTACAATCTACAGAGGCATATTTCTGAGCGGTTTGAGACCCATGTTGTAATAGGAAATATCTACACATAAAAACTAGACAGATGCTTTTTGAGAAACGCCTTTGTGATGTGTGCATTCACCGCACAGAGTTGAACCTTTCTTTTGATTGAGAAGTTTGGAAACAGTCTTTTTGTACAATCTGAAAAGGGATATTTCAGAGTGGTGTGAGGGCTATGGTGAAAAACGATCTATCTTCACATAAAAAGTAGACAGAAGTTTTCTCACAAAATTATTTGTGATATGTGCTTTCATCTCACAGATTTGAGCCTTACTTTTTATTGAGGAGTTTGGAAACGGTCTTTTTGTATAATATGCAAATGGACATTTAGAGCATTTTGAGACCTATGGTGAAAAAGGAAATATCTTCATATAAAAACTTGACAAAATCTTTCGGAGAAACCACTTTTTGATGTGTCTATTCATCTCACACAGTTGAATCCTTTTGATTTAGCAGTTTTGAAACTGTCTGTCTTTAGAATCTGCAAAGGCATATTTGGAGTCCTTTGAGGGCTAAGGTGAATAAGGAAATATCTTCACATAAAAACTAGAAAGAAGCTTTCTGAGAAACTTCTTTGTGATGTGTGCATTCAGTGCACAGTGTTGAACTTTTCTTTTGATTGAGCAGTTTGGAAACAGTATTTTTGTGGAATCTGCAACAGGACATTTGGTGCACTTTGAGGCCTAAGGTGAAGAATGAAATTTCTTCACATAAAAACTAGACAGAAGCATTCTGAGAAACTTCTTTGTGATGTGTGCATTCATCTCACAGATGTGAACATTTCTTTTGATTGACCTGTTTGGAAACAGTCTTTTTGTAGAATCTGCAAAGGGATATTCGTGAGTGCTTTTCAGCCTATGGTGAAAAAGGAAATACCTTCACATAAAAACTAGACAGAAGTTTTCTGATAAACTTCTTTGTGATATGGGCATTCATCTAACAGAGTTGAACCTGTATTTTGATTGAGCTGTTTGAAGTCTTTTTGTAAAATCTGTAAAGGGATATTTGTGAGCAGTTTTAGGCCTGTGGTGAGAAAGGAAGTGTTTTCACATAAACACTAGACAAAAGTTTTCAGGGACACTTCTTTGGTATGTGTGCATTCATCTCAAAGAGTTGAACCTTCCTTTCAGTTGAGCAGTTAGGAGACAGTCTTTTTGTAGAATCTGCAAAGAGATATTTGGAGCACTTTCAGGCCGATGGTGAAAAAGGAAATATCTTCACATAAAAACAAAACTGCAGCTTTCTGAGAAACTTCTTTGTGACGTGTTCTTTCATCTCACCGAGTTGAACCATTCTTTTCATTGATAAGTTTAGAAACTGTCTTTTTGTAGAATCCATAAATGGATATTTGGAGCACTTTTAATACCACGGTGAAAAATGAAATATCTTTACATAAAAACTAGACAGAAGCTTTCTGAGAAACTTCTTTGTGATGTGGGCTTTCATTTTACAGATTTGAACATTTCTTTTCATTCAGCAGTTTGGAGACTGTCTTTTTGTAGAATCTGCAAACGGATATTTAGAGCACTTTGAGGCCTATGGTGAAAAAGGTAATATCTTCTCTTAAAAATTTGACAGAAGCTTTCGAAGAAACTTCTTTGTGATGTGTGCATTCATCTCACAGCATTGAAACTTTCTTTTAACTGAGCAGTTTGGAAACAGTCCTTTTGTAGAAACTGCAATGGGATGTTTTTGGGCCCTTTGTGGCCAATGGTGAAAAAGGAAATATCTTCACATAAAAATTAGACAGATGCTCTCTGAGAAACTTCTTTGTGATGTTTGCTTTCATCTTCCAGAGTTGAACATTTCTTTTCATTGAGCACTTTGGAAACAGTGTTTTTGTACAGTCTGCAGAGGGATATTTGGAGTGTATTGAGGCATATGGTGAATAAAAAGTATCTTCAAATAAAAACTAGACAGAAGGTTTCTGAGAAACTTCATTGTGATGTTTGCATTCATCTCACAGAGTTCAACCTTTCTTTTCATAGCACAGTTTGGAGACAGTCTTTTTGTAGAATCTGCAAATGGATACTTGGAGCACTTTGTGGCATATAGTGAAAAGGGAAATACCTTCACATAAATACTAGACAGAAGCTTTCTGAGAAAGTTCTTTGTAATGTGCATTCACCTCACAGAGTTGAACCTTTCTTTTCCTTGAGCAGTTTGGAAACAGTCTTTTTGTACAATCTGCAAAGGGATATTTGTGAGCGTTTTGGGGCCTATGTTGAAAAAGGAAATACCTTCACATAAAAAGAAGAGAGAAGCATTCTGAGAAACTTCTTTGTGATGTGTGCATTCATGTCACAGCTTCGAACCTTTCTTTTTATTGAGCACTTTGGAAACAGTCTTTTGTAGAATCTGCAATGGGATACTTTTGAGCCGTTTGGGGCTTATGGTAAAAAATGAATTATCTTCACATAAAAACTAGACAGAAGTTTTGTGAGAAACTTCTTTGTGATGTGTGCTTTCATCTCACAGACTTGAACCTTTTCTTTGATTAAGCAGTTTGGAAACAGTCTTTTTGTAGAATCTGCCAAGGAATATTTGTAGTGCTTTGAGGCATATGGTGAAAAATGAAATATCTGCACATAAAAACTAGACAGAAGCTTGCTGAGAAACTTCTTTGTGATGTGTGCTTTCATCTCACAGAGTTCAACCTTTCTTTTCATTGAGCAGTTTGGACACAGTCTTTTTGTAGAATCTGCAAATGGATATTTGGAGTGCTTCATGGCCTATGGTGAAAAAGGAAATATCTTCACCTAAAAACTAGTCAGAAGATTTTGGAGAAACTTCTTTGTGTTGTGTGCATTTATATCATGGAGTTGAACCTTTATTTTCATTTATTACTTCGGAAACAGTCTTTTTGCAGAATCTGCAAAGTGATATTTGGAGCAGTTCTGGGCATATGGTGAATAAGGAAATATCTTCACTTAAAAACTAGACAGAAGCTTTCTGAGAAACCTCTTTGTGATGTTTGAATTCATCTAACAGAGTTGAACCATTCTTTAGATTGAGCTGTTTGGAGACAGTGCTTTTGTAGAGCCTACAAAGGGATATTTGGAGAGCTTTGGGGCCTGTGGTGAAGAAGGAAATATCTTCACATGAATACTAGACAGAAGCTTTCTGAGAAACTTCTTTGTGATGTGTGCATTCATCTCACAGAGTTCAACATTTCTTTTCATTGAGCAGTTTGGAAGCAGTCTTTCTGTAGAATCTGCAAATGGATATTTGGTGCACTTTGAGGCCTATAGTGAAAAAGGAAATATCTTCACATAAAAACTAGACAAAAACTTTCTCAGAAACTTCTTTGTTATGTGCATTCATCTCACATAGTTGAACCTTTCTTTTCATTGAGCAGTTTGGAAACAGTCTTTTGATAGAATCTCCAAGGGGATATTTGGAGCACTTTGAGGCCTATGGTGAATAAGGAAAATATTTACATAAAAGCTAGACAGAAGCTTTCTGGGAAACCTCTGTTTGATGTGGGCTTTCATCTGACAGATTTGAACCTTTCTTTTGATTGAGCAGTCTGGAAACAGTCTTTTGTAGAATCTGAAAATGGATGTTTTGAGTGCATTGTTTCCTGTAGTAGAAAAGAAAATATCTTCACATAACAACTAGACAGAAGCCTTTTGAGAAACTTCTTTGTGATGTGCGCATTCATCTTACAGAGTTGAACCTTTCTTTTGATTGAGCAGTTTGGAAACAGTCCTTTTGTAGAATCTACAAAGAGATATTTGTGAGCCCTTTGAGGTCTATGGTGAAAAAGGAAATATCTTCACATAAAAACTAGACAGAAGCTTTCTGAGAAACTTCTTTGTAATGTGTGATTTCATCTCACAGTGTTGAAATTTTCCTTTTATTGATCAGTTTAGAAATCTTCTTTTTGTAGTATCTGCAAAGTGATATTTGGAGCGCTTTGGTGCCTGTGGTGAATAGGGAAATATCTTCATATAAAAAATAGAGAGAAGTTTTCTGAGAAACTTCTTTGTGATGTTTGCATTCATCTCACGGAGTTGAAGCTTTCTTTTCATTGAGCAGTTTGCAAACAGTCTTTCTGTAGTATCTGCAAATGGATATTTGTGAGCGGTATGCAGCCTTTGTTGAAAAAGGAAATATCTTCACATAACAACACAGAAACTTTCTGATAAACTTCTTTGTGATGTGTGCATTCATCTCACAGAGTTGAAACTTTCTTCTGATTGAGCATTTTGGAAACAGTCTTTTTGTAGGATCTGCAAAGTGATACTTGTGAGCCCTTTGAGGCCTATGGTGAAAATGGAAATGTCTTCACATAAAGACTAGACAGGAGTGTTCTGAGAAACTTCTTTGTGATGTGTGTTTTCATCTCACAGAATTGAAACTTTCTTTTGGTTTATCAGTTTGGAAACAGTCTTTCTGTAGAATCTGCAAAGTGTTACTTGGAGCCCTTTGAGGCCTATTTTGAAAAAGGAAATATCTTCACATAAAAACTAGACAGAAGCTTTCTGAGAAACTTCTTTGTGATGTGTGCATTCATTTCACAGAGTTGAACCTTTCTTTTGATTGAGCAGTGTGGAAACAGTCTTTTTATAGAATCTGCAAATGGATATTTGTGATCCCTTTGAGGCCTGTGGTGAAAAAGGACATATCTTCACATAAAAACTAGACAGAAGGGTTTTGAGAAACTTCTTTGTGATGTGTGCATTCATCACACAGAGTTGAACTTTTACATTGATTGCGTAGTTTGGAAACAGTCTTTTTGTAGAATCTGGCAAAGGATATGTAGAGCGCTTTGAGGCATATGGTGAAAAACGAAATATCTTCCTATAAAAACTAGACAGAAGCTTTCTGAGAAACTTCTTTGTGAAGTGTGCATCCATCTGACACAGTTCCACCTTACTTTTCATTTGGCAGTTTGGAAACAGTCTTTTTGTAGGATCCCCAAAGGGATATTTTGAGTGCTTTGAGGCCTATGTTAAATAAGGAAAATATTCACATAAAAACTAGACAGAAACTTACTGAGAAACTTCCTTGTGATGTGGGCTTTCATCTCACAGAGTTGAACCTTTGTTTTGATTGGGCAGTTTGGAAACAGTCCTTTGTGGAATCTGCAAATGGATATTTGGAGCGCTTTGAAGCCCAAAGTGAAAAAGGAAATAGCTCAACATAAAAACTAGACAGAAGCTTTGTGAGAAACTGGTTTGTGATGTGTGCTTTCATCTCACAGAGTTGAAACTTCCTTTTGGTTGATCAGTTTTGAAACAGTGTTTTTGTAGTATCTGCAAAGGGATACTTGGAGCTCTTTGAGGCCTGTGGTGAAAAAGGAAACATCTTCAAATAAAAACTAGACAGAAACTTTTGACTTGGAAGCTACCTAAATGTCCAACAATGATAGACTGGATTAAGAAAATGTGGCACATATAACCCATGGAAAACTATGTAGCCATAAAAAATGATAAGTTCATGTCCTTTGTAGGGAGATGGATGAAGCTGGAAACCATCATTCTCATCAAACTATCTCAAGGACAGAAAATCAAACACCGCATGTTGTCACTCATAGGTGGGAATTGAACAACGAGAGCACAAGGACACAGGAAAGGAAACATCACAGGGATGGGGGATGGATAACATTAGGAGATATAACTAATACTAAATGACGAGTTAATGGGTGCAGCTCACCAATATGACACATGTATACATATGTAACAAACCTGCACATTGTGCCCATGTACCCTACAATTTAAAGTAAAATAATAAATAAAATTAAAAAAACAAGAGAAACTTTTTTGTGATGAATGCATTCATCTCACAGAGTTGAACCTTTCTATTGATTGAGAAGCTTGGAAACTGTCTTTTGTAGAATCTGCCAATGGATATATGTAGTGCTTTGAGGCATATGGTGAAAAATGAGGAATCTTCACATAAAAACTAAACAGAAGATTTCTGAGAAACTTCTTTGTGATATGTGCATTCATCTCACAGAGTTCAACCTTTCTTTTCATTGAGCAGTTTAGAAATGATCTTTTTGTGGAATCTCCAAAGGGATATTTGGAGCACCTTGAGGCCTATGTTGAATAAAGAAAATATTCAGATAAAATTTAGACAGAAGCTTTCTGAGGAACTTCTTTATGATAGGTGCATTCATCTCAAGAATTGAAACTTTCTATTGATTGAGCAGTTTGTAAACAGTCTTTTGCAGAATCTTCCAAGGGATATATGTAGCGCTTTGAGGCATATGGTGAAAAAAGAAGAATCTTCACATTAAAACTAGACATAATATTTCTGAGAAACTTCTTTGTGATGTGTATATTTATCTCATAGAGTTCAAACTTTGTTTTCATTGAGCAGTTTGGAAATGGTCTTTTTGTGGAATCTCCAAAGGGATATTTGGAGCACTTTGAGGCCTATGTTGAATAAGGAAAATATTCGGATAAAAACCAGACAGATTTCTGAGAAACTTCTTTGTGATGTGGGCTTTCATCTAATAGAGTTAAAACTTTCTTTTGATAGAGCAGTTTGGAAACAGTCTTTTTTGTAGAATCTGTCAAGGGATATTTGGAGCACATTGAGGCCTATGGTGGAAAAGGAAATATCTTCACATAAAAACTACACAGAGTTCTTCTGAGAAACTTCTTTGTGATGTGTGCATTCATCTCACAGAGTTGAGGGTTTCTTTTGAAGGAGCAGTTTAGAGACAGTCCATTTATAGAATCTGCAAAGGGATATTTGTGAGCCGTTTGTGGAATATGGTGAAAAGGGAATTATCTTCATAAAAAAAGTAGACAGAAGGTTTCTGAGAAATTTCTTTGTTATGTGTGCATTCATCTCACAGAGTTGAACATTTCTACAGATTAAGTCTTTTGGAAACTGTCTTTTTGTTGAATGTGGCCTGGGATATGTGTAGCACTTTGAGGTGTATGTTGAAAAACTAAATATCTTCCCATAAAAACTAGACAGAATCTTTCTGAGATACTTCTTTTTGATGAGTGTACTCATCTCACAGAGTTGAACCTTTCTTTTGATTGAGCAGTTTGGGAACAGTCTTTTTGTAGGATATCCAAAGGGATATTGTGAGCGCTTTGAGGCCTATGGTGAGTAAGGAAAATATTCACATAAAAACTAGACAGAAGCTTTCTGAGAAACTTCTTTGGGATGTGGACTTTCATCTCATAGAGTTGAACCTTACTTTTGATTGGACAATTTTGAGACAGTCTTTTTGTAAAACCTGCAAGGGGACATTGGCAGTGCTTTGGGGTCTGTGGTTAATAAGGAAATACCTTCACATAAAAAGTAGAGAGAAGTTTTCCAAGAAACTTATTTGTTATGTGTGCATTCATCTCACAAAGTGAAGCTTTCTTTTGATTGAGCAGCTTGGACACAGTCTTCTTTTTGTAGAATCTTCAAAGGGATATTTGTGAGCAGTTTGGGGAATATGGTGAAAAGGGAAATACCTTCACATAAAGACTAGACAGAAGCATTCTGAGAAACTACATTGTGATGTTTGCATTCATCTCACAGAGTTGAACGTTTCTTTTGATTGAGCAGTTTGGATGCAGTCGTTTTGTAGAATCTGCAAAGGGATATTTCTGACCGCTTTGGGGCCTATGGTGAAAAAGGAAATATCCTCTCATAAAACTAGATCGAATCTTTCTGACAAACAACTTTGTGATGAGTGCATTCATCTCACGGAGTTCAACCTTCCTTTGGATTAAGCAGTTTGTAAACAGTTTTTTTTATAGTATCCGAAAAAGGGATATTTGTGAGCCCTTTGTGTCCCATGACAAAAAAGAAATATCTTCACATAAAAACTAGACAGACTCCCTCTGAGAAACTTCTCTGTGTTGTGTGATTTCATCTCACTGAATTGAACCTTTCTTTTGATTGATCAGTTTGGAAACAGTCTTTTTGTAGAATCTGCAAAGGGAAACTTGGAGCACTTTGTGGCGTCGGGTGAAAAAGTAGATATCTTCAAATAAAAACTAGACAGAAGCTTTCTGAGAAACTTCTCTGTGATGTGTGCATTCATCTCACAGAGTTGAACATTTCTTTTGATTAAGCAGTTTGGAAACAGTCCTTTTGTTAAATCTGCAAATGCATATTTCTGAGCAGTTTGAGGCCTATGGTGAAAAAGGAAATATCTTCACATGAAAACTAGACAGAAAGTTTTTAAGAAACATCTTTGTTATGTGGGCATTCATCTCACAGAGTTGAGCCTTTCTACTGTCTGAGTCGTTTGGAAACAGTCTTTTTGTAGAATCTGGCCATGGATATATGTAACGCTTTGAGGCGTATGGTGAATAACGAAATACCTTCCTATAAAAACTAGACAGAAGCTTTCTGAGAAACTTCTTTATGATGTGTGCATTCATCTCAAAGAGTTCAATGTTTCCTTCATTGAGCAGTTTGGAAAAAGTCTTTTCGTAGTTTCCTCAGAGGGATATGTGTAGCGCTTTGAGGCGTACAGTGAAAAATGAAATGTCTCCATATAAGAACTAGACGGAAGCTTTCTGGCAAAATTCTTTGCGATGTGGCTTTCATTTCACAGAGTTGAACCTTACTTTTCATTGAGCAGCTTGGAGATAGTCTTTTTGTAGAATCTGAAAATGGATATTTGGAGCACTTGGAGGCCTATGGTGAAAAAGGAAATATCTCAACATAAAAACTGGACAGAAACTTTCTGGGAAACTCCTTTGTGATGTGTGCTTTCATCCCACAGAGTTGAATCTTTCTTTTTATTGAGCAGTTTGGAAACAGTCTTTTTGTAGAATCTGCAAATGGATATTTGGAGCGCTTTGAGGCCCAAGGTGAAAAAGGAAATATCTCAACATAAAAACTAGACAGATCCTTTCTGAGAAACTTCTTTGTGTTGTGTGCATTCATCTCACAGAGTTGAACCTTTCTGTTGATTGAGCAGTTTAGAAACACTCTGTTTGTAGAAACTGCAAAGGGACATTTTTGATTGGTTTGCATACTGTGTTAAAAAAGGAATTACGTTTACATAGAAGCAAGACAGAAGCATTCTGAGAAACTTCTTTTTGATGGGTGCATTCATCTCACAGAGATGAAACTTTCTTTTGATTGAGCAGTGTGGAAACAGCCTTTTTGTAAAATCTACAAGTGGATACTTGTGTGCCTTTTGAGGCCTATGGTGAAAAGGGAAATATCTTCACATAAAAACTAGACAGAAGTTTTCTGAGAAAATACTTTGTGATGTGTGTTTTCATGTCACTGTTGAAAGTTTCTTTTGTTTGATCAGTTTGGAAACAGTCTTTTTACAGAATCTGCAAAGGGATACTTGGAGCCCTTTGAGGCCTATGGTGAAAAAGGAAATATCCTCAAATAAAAAATAGAAACTTTCTGAGAAACTTCTCTGTGATGTGTGCATTCATCTCAGAGAGTTGAACCTATCTTTTGATTAAGCAGTTTGGAAACAGTCTTTTTGTAGAATCTTCAAAGAGATATTTATGAGCAGTTTGAGGCCTATGGTGAAAACAATATCTTCACATAAAAACTAGACAGAAGCTTGTGGAGAAACTTCATTGTGATGTGTGCATTCATCTCACAGAGTTCAACATTTCTATTGATTGAGCAGTTTGGAAGCAGTCTTTTTGTAGAATCTGCAAATGGATATTTGGTTCACTTTGAGGCCTATAGTGAAAAAGGAAATGTCTTCACATAAAAACGAGACAAAAAATTTCTCAGAAACTTTTTTGTTATGTGCATTCATCTCACAAAGTTGAACCTTTCTTTTCATTGAGCAGTTTGGAAACAGTCTTTTTGTAGAATCTCCAAGGGGATATTTGGAGCACTTTGAGGCCTGTGGTGAATAAGGAAAATATTTAAATAAAAACTAGACAGAAACTTTCTGAGAAACCTCTGTTTGATGTGGGCTTTCATCTCACAGATTAGAACCATTCTTTTGATTGAGCAGTTTGGAAACAGTCTTTTGTAGAATCCAAAAATGGATGTTTTGAGCGCATTGTTTCCTGTAGTAGAAAAGGAACTATCTTCACATAAAAACTAGACAGAAGCCATCTGAGAAACTTCTTTGTGATGTGCGCTTTCATCTCACAGAGATGAGCCTTTCTTTTGATTGAGCAGTTTGGAAACATTCCTTTTGTAGAATCTGCACAGGGATATTTGTGAGCCCTTTGAGGCCTATGGTGAAAAAGGGAATAGCTTCACATAAAAATTAGAAGCTTTCTGAGAAACTTCTCTGTGTTGTGGGATTTCATCTCAGAGGATTGAACCTTTCTTTGGTTGGTCAGTTTGGAAACAGTCTTTTTCTTGAATCTGCAAAGGGATACTTGGGGCACTTTGAGACCTGTGGTGAAAAAGGAAATATCTCAACATAAAAACTAGACAGAAGCTTTCTGAGAAACTTCTTTGTGATGTGTGCATTCATGTCACAGGGTTGAGCTTTTCTTTTGATTGTGCAGTTTGGAAACAGTATTTTTGTAAAATCTGCCAAGAGATATATGGAGCCCAGTGCGGTCTGTAGTGGAAATGGAAATATCTTCACATAAATACCAGAGAGAAGCCTTCTGAGAAACTTCTTCTGGTTTGTGCCTTCATCTCACAGAGTTGAACCATTCTTTTGATTGAATCCTTTGAAACAGTGCTTTTGTAGAATCTGCAAATGGGTGTTTTTGAGCCCTTTGAGACCTATGGTAAAAAAGGATATATCTTCTCATAAAACTAGACAGAAGCTTTCTGAGAAACTTCTTTGTGATGTGTGATTTCATCTCTCAGAGTTGAACCTTCCTTTTGATTGATATGTTTGGAAACAATCTTTTTTGTAGAATCTGCAAAGTGATATTTGGATCGCTTTGTGGCCTCTGGTGAATAAGGAAATATCTTCACATTAAAACTAGACAGAAGTTTTCTGAGAAACTTCTTTGTTATGTGTGCATTCATCTCTCAGTTTTGAAGCTTTCTTTTAATTGAGCAATTTGGAGACTTTTTGTGGAATCTACAAAGGGGTATTTGTGAGCGGTTTGGGGCCTATATTGAAAAGGGAAATGACTTCATATAAAAACTAGATTGAAGCATTTTGAGAAATTTCTTTGTGATGTGTGCAATCACCTCACAGAGTGCAACCTTTTTTTTTTTTTTTCTGAGACGGAGTCTGGCTCTGTAGCCCAGGTTGGAGTGCAGTGGCATGATCTCGGCTCACTGCAAGCTCTGCCTCCCAGGTTCCCACCATTCTCCTGCCTCAGCCTCCCAAGCAGCTGGGACTACAGGTGCCCGCCACCACGCCCAGCTAATTTTTTGTATTTTTAGTAGAGACGGGGTTTCACCGTGTTAGCCAGGATGGTCTCAATCTCCTGACCTTGTGATCTGCCTGCCTCAGCCTCCCAAAGTGCTGGGACTACAGGCTTGAGTCACCATGCCTGGCTGACACAACCTTTTTTTTGATTGAGCAGTTTGGAAGCAGTCTTTTTGTGAAATCTGCAAAGGGATATTTGTAATCACTTTAATGCCTATGGTAAAAAGGGAAATATCTTCACATAAAAACTAGACAGAAGCATTCTGAGAAACTTATTTGTGATGTGTGTATTCAAACCGCATACTTGAACCTTTCTTTCGATTGAGCACTTTGGAAACCGTCTTTTTATAGAATCTGCAAATGGATATTTGTGAGCCCTTTGAGGCACATGGTGAAAAAGGAAATATCTTCACATAAAATCTAGACAGAAGCTTTCTGAGAAACTTCTCTGTTTTGTGTCCTTTCAACTAAAACAGTTGAATCTTTCTTTTGATCGATCAGTTTGGAAAAAGTCTTTTTGTAGAATCTGCAAAGGGATACTTGGAGCACTTTGAGGCCTATGGTTAATAAGGAAATATCTTCACATAGAAACTATACAGAAGCTTTCTGAGAACCTTCCTTGTGATGTGTGCATTCAACTCACAGAGTTGAATCTTTCCTTTGATTGAGCAGTATGGAAACAGTCTTTTTGTAGTATCTGCAAAGGGATATTTGCAGCGCTTTGAGGCCTATTGTGTAAAAGGAAATATCTTAACATAAAAATTAGACAGAAGATTTCTGAGAAAATTCTTTGGATGCGGGCATTTATCTCACAGAGTTGTACCTTTCCTTTGATTGAGCAGTTTGGAGGCAGTCTTTTTGTAGAATCTGCAAAGGGATATTTGAGAGTGGTTTCAGCCCTATGGTGACAAAGGCAATATCTTCACATAAAGCTAGATAGAAGCATTTTGAGGTACTTCTTTGTGATGTGTGCATTCATCTAACAGAGTTCAATCTTTCTTTAGAAGGAGCAGTTTGGAAATCGTCTTTTTGTAGAATCTGCAAAGGGATATTTGTGAGTGGTTTGAAGCCTGTGGTGAAAAAGGAAATATCTTCACATAAATACTAGAAATAAGTATTCTGAGAAACTTCTTCGTGATGTGTGGCTTCATCACGCAGAGTAGAAATTTTCCCTTGATTGAGCATTTTGGAAATGGTCTTTTTCTAGTATCTCCAGAGGGATATGTGTGAACCCATTGAGGCCTATGTTGAAAAGGGAAATATCTTCAAATAAAAACTAGACAGAAGTATTCTGAGAAACTTCCTTGTGATGCATGCATTCATCTCACAGAGTTGAACCTTCCTTTTGATAGAGCAGTTTGGAAACAGTCTTTTTGTAGTATCTGCAAAGGGATATTTGCAGTGCTTTGAGGCCTATGGTGTAAAAGGAAATACCTTAACAAGAAAACTAGACAGAAGATTTCTGAGAAAATTCTTTGGATGTGGGCATTCATCTCACAGAGTTGAATCTTTCTTTTGATTGAGCAGTTGGAGGCAGTCTTTTTGTAGAATCTACAAAGGGATATTTGAGAGTGGTTTCAGCCCTATGGTGACAAAGGAAATATCTTCACATAAGCCTAGACAGAAGCCCTTTGAGGTACTTCTTTGTGATGTGTGCATTCGCCTAACAGAGTTCAATCTTTCTTTTGAAGGAGCAGTTTGGAAATCGTCTTTTTGTAGAATCTGCAAAGGGATATTTGTGAGTGGTTTGAAGCCTGTGGTGAATAAGGAAATATCTTCACATAAATACTAGAAATAAGCATTCTGAGAAACTTTTTTGTGATGTGTGTCTTCATCACACAGAGTAGAAATTTTCCCTTGATTGAGCAGTTTGGAAATGGTCTTTTTCTAGTATCTCCAGAGGGATATGTGTAAGCCCATTGAGGCCTATGTTGAAAAGGGAAATAACTTCAAATAAAAACTAGACAGAAGCATTCTGAAAAACTTTCTTGTGAAGCGTGCATTCATCTCACAGAGTTGAACCTTCCTTTTGATAGAGCAGTTTGGAAACAGTCTTTTTGTAGTATCTGCAAAGGGATATTTGCAGTGCTTTGAGGCCTATGGTGTAAAAGGAAATACCTTAACAAGAAAACTAGACAGAAGATTTCTGAGAAAATTCTTTGGATGTGGGCATTCATCTCACAGAGTTGAACCTTTCTTTTGATTGAGCAGTCGGAGGCATTCTTTTTGTAGAATCTGCAAAGGGAGTGGTTTCAGCCCTATGGTGACAAAGGAAATATCTTCACATAAAGCTAGACAGAAGCACTTTGAGGTACTTCTTTGTGCTGTGTGCATTCATCTAACAGAGTTCAATCTTTCTTTTGAAGGAGCAGTTTGGAAATCATCTTTTTGTAGAATCTGCAAAGGGATATTTGTGAGTGGTTTGAAGACTGCGGTGAAAAAGGAAATATCTTCACATAAATACTAGACAGAAGCATTCTGAGAAACTTCTTTGGGATGTGTGCCTTCATCATACAGAGTAGAAATTTTCCCTTGATTGAGCAGTTTGGAAACAGTCTTTTTCTGGAATCTCCAGAGGGATATACGTGAGCCCATTGAGGCCTATGTTGAAAAGGGAAATATCTTCAAATAAAAACTAGACAGAAGCATTCTGAGAAAATTCCTTTTGATATGTGCATTCATCTCACAGAGTTGAACCTTTCTTTTGATAGAGCAGTTTGGAAACAGTCTTTTTGTAGTATCTGCAAAGGGATATTTGGAGCACTTTGAGGCCTATGGTGCAAAAGGAAATATCTTATCATAAAAACAAGGCAGAAGATTTCTGAGAAGCTTCTTTCATGCTTGCATTCATCTCACAGAGTTGAATCTTTCTTTTGATTGAGGAGTCAGAGGCAGTCTTTTTGTAGAATCTGCAAAGGGATATTTGAGAGTGACTTCAGCCCTATGGTGACAAAGGAATTATCTTCACATAAAGCTGCACAGAAGCATTTTGAGGTATTTCTTTGTGATGTGTGCATTCACCTAACAGAGTTCAATCTTTCTTTAGATGGAGCAGCTTGGAAATCATCTTTTTGTAGAATCTACAAAGGGATATTTGTGTGCGGTTTGAAGCGTACAGTGAAAAATGAAATATCTTCACATAAATACTAGACAGAAGCATTCTGAGAAACTTCTTTGGGATGTGTGCCTTCATCTCACAGAGTTGAAATTTTCCTTTGGTTGAACAATATGGAACAGTCTTTTTCTAGAATCTCCAGAGGGATGTGTATAAGCCCATTGAGGCCTACATTGAAAAGGGAAACATCTTCACATAAAAACTAGATGGAAGCATTCTGAGAAACTTCTTTGTGATGTGTGCATTCATCTCACAGAGATGAACATTGGTTTTGATTGAGCAGTTTGGACACAGTCTTTTTGTACCAGCTGCAAATGGATATTTAGTGTGCTTTGAGTCCTATGGTGAAAAAAGAAATATCTTAACATAAAAACTAGAGAGAATCTTTCTGAGAAACTTCTTTATGCTGTGTGCATTCATCTGAGAGAGTTGAAAATTTCTTTTCATTGAGCAGTTTGGAAACAGTATTTTTGTATAATCTGCCAAGGAATATTTGGAGGGATTTGAGACATATGGTGAAAAAGGAAATATCTTCAAAAAAAAACTAGAAGAAGATTTTTGAGAAATTCATTTTTCATGTGTGCTTTAACCCTACAGAGTTTAAACTTTTTTTGATAGAGCAGATTGGAAACCATCCTTTTGTAGAATCTCCAAATGAATATTTAGAGCGCTTTGAGGGCTATGGTGAAAAAGGAAATATCTTCCAATAAAAACGAGACAGAAGCTTTCTGAGAAACTTCCTTGTGATGTGTGCTTTCATCTCACAGAGTCAAAATTTTCTTGTGAATGAGCAGTTTGGAAACAGTCTTTTTGTAGGAACTGCAAATGGATATTTATAGCACTTTGAGGTCCACGGTGAAAAAGGAAATATCTTCACATGAAAACTAAACAGAAGATTTCTGAGAAAGTTCTTTGTGATGCGTGCATTTATCTCACAGTGTTGAACCTTTCTTTTGATTGAGCAGCTGGGACATGCTCTGTTTGTAGAATTTGCTGAGGAATATTTGTGAGCGGTTTGAGACTTATGGTGAAAAAGCAAACATCTTCACATAAAAACTTCACAGACTCTTTAGGAGAAACATTTTTGTGATGTTGACATTCATCTCACATAGTTGAACCTTTCTTTTCATTGAGCAATTTGGAAGCACTCTTTTTATATAATCTGCTAAGGGATATTTCTGAGTCATTTGAGGCCTATGGTGAAAAAGAAATATCTTCACATAAAAACTAGACAGAAGTATTCTGAGGAACTTCTTTGTGATGTGTGCATTCACCTCACAGAGTTGAAGCATCCTTTGATTGAGCAGTTTGGAAACAGTCTTTTTGTAGAATTTGCAGACGGATATTTGTAAGTGGTTTGAGGCCTATGGTGAAAATGGAAATATCTTCACATAAAAACTAGACAGGAACATTCTGAGAAACTTCTTTGGATGTGTGCATTCATCTCACAGAGTTGAAAATTTCTTTAGATTGAGCAGTTTGGAAACAGTTTGTTGTAAAAACTGCTAAGGGATATATGTGAGCCCATTGAGGCCTACGGTGAAATAGGACATATTTTCACATAAAAACTATACAGAAGCTTTCTGAGAAACTTCTTTGGATGTGTGCTTTCAATGCACAGCATTGAAACTTTCTTTTGATTGAGCAGTTTGGAAACAGTCTTTTTGCAGGATCTACAAATGGATATTTGGAGCACTTTCAGGCCTGTGGTGAAATGTTAACATCTTCACATAAAAACTAGACAGAAGGTTTGTGTGAAAGTTCTTTGTGATATGTGAATTCACCACACAGAGTTGAATCTTTCTTTTGATTGAGCAGTTTGGAAACAGTCTTTTTGTAGATTCCTGAGAGGGATGTTTGTGAGAGGTTTGAGGCCTTTGGTGAAAAAGGAAATATCTTCACATAAAAACTAGACAGAAGCTTTCTGAGAATCTTTTTTGTGGTTTGTGCATTCATCTCTCAGATTTGAATCTTTCGTTTGACTAAGCAGTTTGGAAACTGTCATTTTGTACAATCTGACAAAGGATAGTTCTGAGCTGTTTGAGGCCTTCGGTGAAAAGGAATTATCTTCACATAAAAACTAGATGGAAGCATTCTGAGAAACTCCTTTTTGATGCATGCATTCATCTCACAGAGTTGAACTTTTCTTTTGATTGAGCACTTTGGAAACAGTCTTTTTGTACAATTTGCAGAGGGATATTTGTGAGTGGTTTGAGGTTTATGGTGAATAAGGAAATATCTTCACAGAAAAACTAGACAGAAGTTTTTTGAGAAACTTCTTTTGATGTGTGCATTCATCTCACAGTTTTGAAACTTTACTTTGATTGAGAAGTTTGAAAAGAGTCTTTTTGTAGAATCTGCAAAGGGTTATTTGTAAACAATTTGAGGCCTATGGTGAAATAGGAAATGTCTTCACGTAAAAAATAGACAAAAGCTTTCTGAGAAACTCCTTTTGATGTGTGCTTTCAACTCACAGAGATGATGCTTTCTTTTGATTGAGCAGTTTGGAAACTGTCTTTCTGTACAACCTGCAAATGGATATTTGGTGCGCTTTGAGGCTTATGGTGAAAAATGAGATATCTTCACATAAAAACTAGACAGAAGCATTCTGAGAAACTTCTTTGTGATGCATGCATTCATCTTACAGAGTTGAAACTGTCTTTTGATTGAGCAGTTTGGAAACAGTCGTTTTGTAGAATCTGCAAAGGGATATTTCTGAGCCCTTTTTGGCCTATGGTGAAAAAGGAAATATCTTCACATAAAAAGTAGAGAGAAGCTTTCTGAGAAACTTCTTTGTGATGTGTGCTTTCATCTCACAGTGTTGAACCTTTATTTCAATAGAGCAGTTTGGAAACCATCTTTTTGCAGGATCTGCAAATGGATATTTGGAGCGCTTTGAGACCTATGGTGAAAAAGGAATTATCTTCACATAAAAACGAGACAGAAGATTTCTGAGAAATTTCTTTGTGATGTGTGCATTCATCTCAAAGAGTTGAACCTTTCCTTTGATTGAGCCATGTGGAAACAGTCCTTTTGTACATTTGCAGAGGGATATTTGTGAGTGGTTTGAGGACTATGGTGTAAAAGGAAGTATCTTCATTTTAAAACAATACAGAAGATTTTTCAGAAACTTCTTTATGATTTTTGCATTCATGTCACAGAGGTGAACCTTTCTTTTCATTGAGAAGTTTGGAAGCAGTCTTTTTTTACAATCTTCAAAGTGATATTTCTGAGCGGTTTGTGGCCTATGGTGAAAAAGAAATATCTTGACATAAAAACTAGACAGAAGTGTTCTGAGAAACTTCTTCATTATGTGTGCACTCATGTCCCAGAGTTGAACATTTCTTTTGATTGAGCACATTGCAAACCGTCTTTTTGTAGAATCTGCAATGGAATATTTGTGAGACTTTTGAGGCATATGATGAAAAATGAAATACCTTCGCATAAAAAGTAGACAGAATCTGTCTAAGAAAATTCTTTGTAATGTGTGCATTTATCTCACAGTGTTGAAACTTTCTTTTGATTGAGCAGTTTAGAAACAGTTTTTTGTAGAATCTGACAAGGGATATTAGGAGTGCTTTGAGGTGTTTGGTGAAAAATGAAATGTCTTCACATGAAAACTAGACAGAAGCTGTCTAAGAAAATTTTTTGTGATGTGTGCATTCATCTCAGAGTGTTCAAACTGTCTTTTCATTGAGCAGTTAAGAAACAGCCTTTTTTTTAGTATCTGCCAATGGATATGTGGAGCTCATTGGGTCCTATGTTGAAAAAGGAAATATCTTCACATAAAAACTAGACAGAAGCTTTCTGAGAAACTTCTTTGTGATGTGTGCTTTCATCTCCCAGAGTAGAAACTTTCATTTCCTTGATATGTTTGGAAACAGTCTTTTTGTAGAATCTGCAAAGGGATATTTGGAGCAATTTGAGACCTTTGGTGTAAAAGTAAATATCTTTAAATGAAAAGTATATATAACCTTTCTGAGTAACATCTTTTTGATGTGTACATTCGTCTCCCAGAGTTGGTACTTTCTTTTCATGTTTGAGAAGTTTGGAAACAGTCTTTTTGTAGAATCTGCAAAGGGATATATGGAGCAATTTGAGGTATATGGTGAAAAAAGAAATTTCTCAAAAAAACTAGACAGAAGCTCTCTGAGAAACTTATTTGTGATGTATACATTCATCTCAGAAAGTTGAACCTTTCAATTGATAAGCAGTTTGGAAAGTCTTTTTTTTAGAATCTGCAATGGGATACTTGGAACACTTTGAGGCCTATAGTGAAAAAGGAAATATCTTCAAATAAATACTAGAAAGAAGCTTTCTGAGATACTTCTTTGTGATGTGTGAATTCATCTCACAGAATTTAACCTTTCCTTTAATTCACCACTTTGGAAACAGACTTTTTGTTGAACCTGCATAGAGATACTTGTAAGAGGTTTGAGGAATATGGTGAAAAGTGAAATAACTTCATATAAAAAGTAGACAGAAGATTTTGAGAAACCTGTTTGGGATGTGTGCTTTCATCTCACAGAGTTGAAGCTTTCTTTTCATTGAGAAGTTTGGAAATAGTCTTTTTGTACAATCTGCAAAGTGATATTTCTGAGCGTTTTCAGGTCCATGGTGAAAAAGTAACATCTTCACATAAAAACTAGACAGAAGGATTCTGAGAAACTTCTTTTTGATGTGTGCATTCATCTCACAGAGTTGGACATTTCTTTATATTGGGCAGTTTGGAAACAGTCTTTTTGTAGAATATGCAAAGGAATATTTGTGAGCCCTTTGAGGCCTGTGGTGAAATAGGAACTATCTTCACATAAAAACTAGACAGAAACTTTCAGAGAAACTTCTTTGTGTTGTGTGCTTTTATCTCACAGACTTGAATCTTTCTTTTGATTGAGCACTCTGGAAGCATCCTTTTTGTAGTATCTGCAAGTGGATATTTGCAGTGCTTTGAGTCCTATGGTTAAAAAGGAAATATCTTCACATTAAAACTAGACAGAAGCTTTCCAAGAAACTTCTTTGTGATGTGTGCATTTATCTCACAGAGTTTAAAATTTCTTTTGATTGAGTAGCTTGGAAAAATGCTTTTTGCAGATTCTGCAGAGGGATACTTGTGAGCCTTTTGAGGCCTATGGTGAAAAAGGAAATATCTTCACATAAAAACTAGACAACAGCTTTTCGAGAAACTTCTTTGTTATGTGTGCGTTCATCTCATGGAGTTGAAACTTTCTTTTGATTGAGCAGTTTGGAAACAGTATTTTGTAGAATCTTCAAAGGGATACTTGTGAGCCCTTGGTGGCCTATGGTGAAAAGGAAAATATTTTCACATAAATAATAAAAATCATTTTTCTGAGAAACTTCTTTGTGATGTGTGCTTTCATCTCACAGAGTTGAAACTTTCTTTTGATTGAGTGGTTTGGAAACCGTTTTTTTGTAGAATCTGCCAATGGATATATGGAGTGCTTTGAGTCAAGTGGTGTAAAAGGAAATATCACAACATAAAAACTAAGCAGTTTGGAAACAGTCTTTTTGTAGAATCTGCCAATGCATATTAGGTGTGCATTGAGGCCTATGGTGGAAAAGGAAACATCTTCACATAAAAACTAGAAAGGAGCTTTCTGAGAAACTTCTTTCTGATGTGTGCATTCATCTCCCAAAGTTGAACCTTTCTTTTGATTGATATGCTTGGAAACAGTGTTTCTGTAGAACCTGCAAAGGGATATTTGAAGCTCTTTAAAGAGAATGGTGAAAAATGAAATGTCTTCACATAAAAACTAGATGGAAGCATTCTGAGAAACTTCTTTGTGATGAGTGCATTCATCTCAAAGAGTTGAAAGATTCTTTTGATGGAGCAGATTGGTAACAGTCTTTTTGTAGAATCTGCAAAGGGATATTTGTGAGCCCATTGAGGCCTAGAAAGAAATAGGTAATATCTTCACATAAAAACCAGACAGAAGCTTTCTGAGAAACTTATTGGTGATGTGTGCTTTTATCTCACTGAATTGAACATCTATTTTGATTGAGAAGTGTGGAAACTGTATTTTTGCAGAATCTGCAAATGGATATTTAGCATGCATTGAGGCCTCTGTTTAAAAAGAAAGTGTCTTCACATAAAAAATAGACAGAAGCATTCTGAGAAATTTCTTTGTGAAGTCTGCATTCGTCTCACAGAGGTGAACCTTTCTTTTCATTGATCAGATTCTAACCAGTCTTTTTGTAGAATCTGCGAATGGATATACGGAGTGCTTTGAGGCCTATGTTGAATAAGGAAAATATTCACATAAAAACTAGACAGAAGCTTTCTCAGAAACTCCTTTGTGATGTGGGCTTTCACCTCCAGACTTGAACATTTCTTTTATTTGAGCAGTTTGCATACTTTCTTTTTGTAGCATCTGTGTATGGATGCTTGGAGTGCTTTGAGGTCCATGGTGGAAAGGGAAATTTCTCAATATAAAAACTATACAGAAGCTTTCCAAGAAACTTCTTTGTGACGTGTGCATTCATCTCCCAGATTTGAACTTTTTTTTCTTTGAGCAGTTTGGAAACAGTCTTTTTGTAGAATCTGCAAAGGCATATTTGGAGTGCTTTGCAGCCTATGGTAAATAAGAAAAATCTTCACATAAAACTAGACAGATGCTTTCTGAGAAACTTCTTTGTGATGTGTGCACTTATCTCACAGAGTTGAAACTTTCTTTTGATTGAGCAGTTTGGAAACTGTCTTTTTATGGAATCTTCAAAGGGATAATTATGAGCCCTTTGAGGCCTATGGTGATAAAGGAAATATCTTCACATAAAAACTACAAAGAAGCTTTCTAAGAAACTTCTCTGTGTTGTATGCTTTCATCTCACAGAGTTGAAACTGTCTTTTGATTGATCAGTTTGCAAACAGTCCTTTTGTACAGTCTACAAAGGGATAGTGGGAAAACTTTGAGGCCCATGGTAAAAAAGCAAATATCTTCACATAAAAACTAGACAGAAGCTTCCTGAGAAACTACTTTGTGGTATGTGCATTCATCTCACAGAGTTGAAACTTTCTTTTGATTGAGCAGTTTGGAAACAGTCCTTTTGTAGAATCTGCAGAGGTATATTTGTGAGTGATTTGAGGCCTATGGTGTAAAAGGAAATATCTTCACATAAAAACTAGACAAGCTTTTTAAGAAGCTTCTTTGTGATGTGTGCATTCATCTCACAGATTTGAAAATTTCTTTTCATTGAGCAGTTTTGCAACTGTCTTTATGTAGAATCTGTGAATAGATATATGGAGCTCTTTGATTCAAATGGTGAAAAAGGAAATATCTCAACATAAAGACCAGACAGAAGCTTTCTGAGAAGCTTCTTATGATGTGTGCATTCACGTCACAGAGTAGAACCCTTATTTTGATTGAGCAGTTTGGAACCAGTCTTTTGTAGAATCTGTCAAGGCATATTTTGTGTGCATTGAGGCCTATGGTGGAAAAGGAAATATCTTCACATAGAAACTAGATAGAAGCTTTCTGAGAAACTTCTTTGTGATGTGTGCATTCATCTCCCAGAGTTGAACTTTTCTTTTGTTTGAGCCGTTTGGAAACAGTGTTTTTGTAGAATATGCAAAGGGATGTTTGAAGCTCATTGAAGCAAATGTTGAAAAATGAAATATCTTCACATAAAAACTAGACAGAAGTTGTCTGAGAAATTTATTTGTGATGTGTGCATTCATCTCACAGTGTTGAACATTTATTTTGATTGAGCAGTTTGGAAAAAGTCTTTTTGCAGAATCTGCAAAGGGATATTTGTGAGCCACATGAGGTCTATGGTGAAATAGGAAATATCTTTAAATAAAAACTAGACAGAAGCATCCTGAGAAACTTCTTTGTGAAGTGTGCATTCATCAAACAGAGTTGAAGCTTTCTTTTGATTGAGCAGTTTGCAAACAGTCTTTTTGTAGAATCTGCAAAGGGATATTTCTGAGCACTTTGAGGCCTATGGTGAAAAAGGAAATATCTTCATATAGTAGCTAGACAGAAGTTTTTTGAGAAACTTATTTGTGATGTTTGCATTCATCTCACAGAGATGAAACTTTCTCTTTATTGAGCAGTTTGGAAACGGTCTTTTTGTACAATCTGCAAAGGGATATTTCTGAGCGGTTTGAGACCTTTGGTGAAAATGAAATATCTTCACATAAAAACTAGACAGAGGCATTCTGAGAAACGTCTTTGTGATGTGTGCATTTATCTCACAGTGTTGAACCTTCCTTTTGATTGAGCACTTTGCAAACAGTCTTTTTGTGGAATCTGCAAAGGGATATTTGTGAGCCCTTTGAGGTCTATGGCGAAACAGGAAATATCTTCACATGAAAACTAAACAGAAGGTTTCTGAGAAACTTCTCTGAGATGTGTGCTTTCATGTCACAGAGTTGAACCTTTCGTTTCATTGAGCAGTTTGGAAACAGTCTTTTTGTGGAATCTACGAATGGATATTCAAAGTGCTTTAAGGCCTATGGTGAAAAAGGAAATCTTCACTTAAAAACTAGACAGAACCTTTCTGGGAAACTTCTTTGTGATGTCTGCATTCATCTCAGAGAGTTGAATCTTTCTTTTGATTGAGCAGTTTGGAAACTGTTTTTGTAGAATCTGCAAAGGGATATTTGTGATCCCATTAAGGCCGATGGTGAAAAAGAAGTATCTTCACAAAAAAACCATACAGAAAGATTCTGATAAACTTCTTTGTGATGTGTGCATTCATCTCAAGAGTTGAACTTTTCTTTTGATTGAGCAGTTTGGGAACAGCCTTTTTGTTGAATCTGCGAATGGATATTGGAACGCTTTAAGGCTTATAGTGAAAAAGGAAATATCGTCACATAAAAACTAAACAGAAGATTTCTGAGAAACATCTTTGTGATGTCTGCATTCATCTCACAGAGTTGAAACTTTCTTTTGATTGAGCAGTTTGGAAACAGTCTTTTTGTGGAATCTGCAGAGGGATATATGTGAGCAGTTTTAGGCCTACGGTGAAGAAGGAAATATCTTCAAATAAAAACTAGAGAGAAGCATTCTGAGAAACTTCTTTGTGATGTGTGTACTCATCTCACAGATTGAAACTTTTTTTATTAAGCAGTTTGGAAACAGACTTTTTGTAGAATCTGTAATAGATACTTTTGAACAAATTGAGGCCTATGGTGTAATAGGAAATATCTTCACATAAAAACTAGACAGAAGCATTCTGAGAAACTTCTTTGTTATGTGTTCTTTCATCTCACAGAGTGAACCTTTCTTTTGATGGAGCAGTTTGGAAACAGTCTTTTTGTATAATCTGCAAAGGGATATTTGTGAGCCCATAGAGGTCTACGGTGAAATAGGAAATGCCTTCAAATAAAAACTAGACAGAAGCTTTCTGAGAAACTCCTCTTTTTTTTTTTAGGAAAACTCTTATTAACTCTGTTCTTTATTTGAATCAGAGGTTCTCAGGGTACCTTTTTAATTTTTTATTTCATTATTATTATACTTTAAGATTTAGGGTACATGTGCACAACGTGCAGTTTTGTTACATATGTATACATGTGCCATGTTTTCGTGCTGCACCCATTAACTCGTAATTTAGCATTAGATATATCTCCTAATGCTATCCACCACCCTTCCCCCCAGCCCCAGCAGTCCCCGGTGTGTGATGTTCCCCTTCCTGTGTCCATGTGTTCTCATTGTTCAATTCCCACCTATGAGTGAGAACATGCGGTGTTTGGTTTTTAGTCCTTGCGATAGTTTGCTCAGAAAGATGGTTTCCAGTTTCATCCATGTCCCTACAAATGACATGAACTCATCACTTTTGATGGCTGTATAGTATTCCATGGTGTATATGTGTCACATTTTCTTAATCCAGTCTATCATTGTTGGACACTTAGGTTGGTTCGAAGTCTTTGCTATTGTGAATAGTGCTGCTATAAACATACATGTGCATGTGTCTTTATAGCAGCAAGATTTATAATCCTTTGGGTATATATCCTGTAATGGGATGGCTGGTTCAAATGGTATTTCTAGTTCTAGATTCCTGAGGAATCACCACACTGACTTCCACAATGGTTGAACTAGTTTACAGTCCCAGCAACAGTGTAAAACTGTTGCTATTTCTCCACATACTCTCCAGCACCTGTTGTTTCCGGACTTTTTAATGATCAGCATTCTAACTGGTGTGAGATGGTATCCCATAGTAGTTTTGATTTGCGTTTCGATGATGGCCAGGTATGATGAGCGTTTTTTCACGTGTTTTTTGGCTGCATAAATGTCTTCTTTTGGGAAGTGTCTGTTCATATTCTTTGCCCACTTTTTGATAGGGTTGTTTGTTTTTTCTTGTAAATTTGTTTGAGTTCATTGTAGATTCTAGATATTAGCCCTTTGTCAGATGAGTAGGCTGCAAAAATTTTCTCCCAATCTGTAGGTTGCCTGTTCACTCTGATGGTAGTTTCTTTTGCTGTGCAGAAGCTCTTTAGTTTAATTAGATCTCATTTGTTAATTTTGGCTTTTGTTGTCATTGCTTTTGTTGTTTTTCCTTGCCCATGCCTATGTTGCCTATGTCCTGAATGGTATTGCCTAGGTTTTCTTCTAGGGTTTTTATGGTTTTTGGTCTAACATTTAAGTGTTTAATTCATCTTGAATTAATTTTAGTATAAGGTGTAAGGAAAGGATCCAGTTTCAGCTTTCTACATACGGCTAGCCAGTTTTCCCAGAACCATTTATTAAATAGGGAATCCTGTCCCCATTGCTTGTTTTTGTCAGGTTTGTCAAAGATCAGATAGTTGTAGATACGTGGCACTATTTCTGAGGGCTCTGTTCTGTTCCATTGATCTATATCTCTGTTTTGCTGCAAGTACCATGCTGTTTTGGTTACTGTAGCCTTGCAGTATAGTTTGAAGTCAGGTAGCGTGATGCTTCCAGCTTTACTCATTTGGCTTAGGATTGACTTGGTGATGCAGCCTCTTTTTTGGTTCCATATGAAGTTTAAAGTAGTTTCTTCCAAGTCTGTGAAGAATGTCATTGGTAGTTTGATGGGGATGGCATTGAATCTGTAAATTACCTTGGGCAGTATGGCCATTTTCACGACATTGATTCTTCCTACCCATGAGCATGGAATGTTCTTCCATTTGTTTGTATCCTCTTTTATTTCATTGAGCAGAGGTTTGTTGTTCTCCTTGAAGAGGTGCTTCACATCCCTTGTAAGTTGGATTCCTAGGTATTTTATTGTTTTTGAAGCAATTGTGAATGGGAGTTCACTCAGAATTTGGCTTTCTGTTTGTCTGTTATTGATGTGTAAGAGTGCTTGTGATTTTTGTACATTTATTTTGTATCCTGAGGCTTTGCTGAATTTGCTTATCAGTTTGAGGAGATTTTGGGCTGAGATGATGGGGATTTCTCGATGTACAATCATGTCATCTGCAAACAGGGACAATTTGAATTCCTCTTTTCCTAATTGAATACCCTTTATTTCATTCTCCTGCCTGATTGCCCTTGTCAAAACTTCCAACACTACGTTGAATAGGAGTGGTGAGAGAGGGCATCCCTGTCTTGTGCCCGTTTTCAAAGGCAATGCTTCCAGTTTTTGCCCATTTAGTATGATATTGGCTGTGGGTTTGTCATAGATAGCTCTTATTATTTTGAGATACATCCCATCATACTTAATTTATTGAGAGTTTTTAGCATGAAGGGTTGTTGAAATTTGTCAAAGGCCTTTTCTGCATCTATTGAGATAATCATGTGGTTTTTGTCTTTGGTTCTGTTTATATGCTGGATTACGTTTATTGATTTGCATAGGTTGAACCAGCTTTGCATCCCAGGGATGAAGCCCACTTGATCATGGTGGACAAGCTTTTTGATGTGCTGTTGGTTTCGGTTTGCCAGTATTTTATTGAGGATTTTTGCATCAATGTTCATCAAGGATATTTGTCTAAAATTATCTTTTTTTGGTTGTGTCTCTGCCAGGCTTTGTTATCAGGATGATGCTGGCCTCATAAAATGAGTTAGGGAGGATTCCCTCTTTTTCTATTGATTGGAATAGTTTCAGAAGGAATGGTACCAACTCCTCTTTTTACCTCTGGTAGAGTTCGGCTGTGAATCCATCTGGTCCTGGACTTTTTTTGGTTGGTAAGCTATTAATTATTGCCTCAATTTCAGAGACTGCTATTGATCTATTCAGAGATTCAACTTCTTCCTAGTTGAGTCTTGGGAGGATGTATGTGTTGAGGAATTTATCAATGTCTTCTAGATTTTCTAATTTATTTATGTAGAGGTGTTTATAGTATTCTCTGATGGTAGCTTGTATTTCTGTGGGATCAGTTGTGATATCCCCTTTATCAATTTTTATTGTGTCTCTTTGATTCTTCTCTCTTTTCTTTTTTATTAGTCTTGTTAGTGGTTTATCAATTTTGTTGATCCTTTCAAAAAACAGCTCCTGGATTCATTAATTTTTTGAAGGGATTTTGTGTCCTATTACCTTCAGTTCTGCTCTGATCTTAGTTATTGCTTGCCTTCTGCTAGCTTTTGAATGTGTTTGCTCTTGCTTTTCTAGCTCAATCGATTGTGATGTTAGGTTGTCAATTTTTGATCTTTCCTGCTTTCTCTTGTGGGCATTTATTGCTATAAATTTCCCTGTACACACTGCTTTGAATGTGTCCCAGAGATTCTGGTATGTTGTGTCATTGTTCTCATTGATTTCAAAGAAAATCTCTATTTCTGCCTTCGTTTCATTATATACCCAGTGGTCATTCAGGAGCAGGTTGTTCAGGGAAACAGTCTGTTTTTAGAATCTGCAGAGGGATGTTTGTGAGCAGATTGAGGCCTATGGTGGAAAAGGAAATATCTTTACATAAAAACTAGACAAAAACGTTCTGAGAAACTTCTTTGTGATGTGGGAATTCATCTCACAGAGTTGAACTTTCTTTTCATAGAGAACTTTGGAAACAGTCTTTTTGTAGAATCTGCAGAGAGATAATTGTGAGTGGTTTGAGGCCTATCGTGAAAAAGGTAATATCTTCACATAAAAACTAGACAGAAGCATTCTGAGAATCTTCTTTGTCATGTGTGCATTCATCTCAGGGAGCTGAACCTTTCTTTTGATTGTGCACTTTGGAAAGAGTCTTTTTGCAAATCTGTGAGTGGTTTGATTCCTATCTGAAAAAGGAAATATCTTCACAGAAAACTACACAGAAGGATTCTCAGAAACTTCTTCGTGATGTGTGTATTCATCTCACAGAGCTGAACCTTTATTTTGAATGAGCAGTTTTGAAAGAGTCTTGTTGTACAATCTGCAAAGGGATATTTGTGAGTCCATTAAGGACTACAATGAAAAAGGAAATATCTTCACATGAAAACCAGACAGAAACTTTCTGAGAAACTTCTTGAAGATGTGTTCTTTCATCTCACAGAGTTGAATCTTTCTTTTGATTGAGCAGTTTGGAAACAGTCTTTTTGTAGAATCTGCATGTGGATATTTGGAGCGCTTTGAGGACTATGGTGAAAAATGAAATATCTTCACGTAAAAAGTAAATAGCAGCTTTCTGAGAAACCTCTTTGTGATGTATGCATTCATCTCACGGATTTGAACCTTACTTTTGATTGAGCGGATTGGAAACAGTATTTTTGTACAATTTGCAGAGGGATAATTCTGAGCAGTTTGAGGCCTATGGTGAAAAAGGAAATATCTTCACATAAAAACTAGACAGAAGCTTTTTGAGAAACTTCTTTGTGGTGTGTGCTTTCATCACATAGAGTCGAACCTTTCTTTTGATAGAGCGGATTGGAAACAATATTTTTGTACAATTTGCAGAGGGATAATTCTGAGCAGTTTGAGGCCTATGGTGAAAAAGGAAATATCTTCACATAAAAACTAGACAGAAGCTTTTTGAGAAACTTCTTTGTGGTGTGTGCTTTCATCACATAGAGTCGAACCTTTCTTTTGATAGAGCAGTTTGGAAACAATCTCTGTGTAGAATCTGCAAAGGGATATTAAAGAGCTTTGAGGTCTATGGTGAAAAATGAAATATCTTCAAATAAAAACTAGACAGAAGCTTTCTGGGAAACTTCTTTGTGATGTGTGCATTCATCTCATTGGGTTGAAACTTTGCTTTGATTGAGCACTTTGGAAACCGTCTTTTTGTGGATTCCTCAGGGAGATATTTGTGATTGGTTTGAGGCCTCTGGTGAAAAAGGAAATATCTTCACATAAAAAGTAGACAGAAGCTTTTTGAGAAACTTCTTTGGATGTGTGTATTCATCTCACTGAGTTGAAAATTTCTTTTCATTGAGCAGTTTGGAAACCATCTCTTAGTCGAATCTGCAGAGGGATATTTGTGAGAGGTTTGAGACCTATGGTGCAAAAGGAAATATCTTCACATAAAAACTAGACAGAAGTTTTTGAGGAACTGCTATGTGATGTGTGCATTTATCTCACAGGGTTGAGAGTTTCTTTTGGTTGAGCAGTTTGGGAAACAGTCTTTTTGTGTAATATGCAAAGGGATATTTGTGAGTGGTTTGAGGCTATGGTAAAAAAGAAACATCTTCACATAAAAGTTAGACAGAAGATTTCTGAGACACTTCTTTGTGATGTGTGCTTTCACCTCATAGAGTTGAAGCTTTCTTTTGATTGAGCTTATTGGAAACAGCCTTTTTGTAGCATTTGCAAATGGATATTTGGAGAGCTTTGAGTCCTTTGTAACAAAGGAAATATTTCAAACAAAGACTAGACAGAAGCATTCTGAGAAACTTCTTTGTGATTTGTGCATTAATCTCACAGAGTTCAAACTTCTTTTTGATTGAGAAGTTTATAAACTGTCTTTTCATAGAATATGCAGAGGGATATTTGTGAGCGGTTTGAGTCCTATGTGAAAAAGGAAATGTCTTCACATAAAAACTACACAGAAATATTCTGAGAAACTGCTTTGTGATTTGTACATTCATCTCACATTGCTGAACGTTTCTTTTGATTGAGCAGTTTGGAAAGAGTCTTTTTGTAGAATCTGAAAAGAGACATTTGTAACTCTTTGAGGCATATGGTGATATAGGAAAAATATTCACATAAAAACTAGACAGAAGCTTTCTGAGAAACTTCTTTGTGATTTGTGCTTTCATCTCACAGAGCTGAACCTTTCTTTCGATTGAGCAGTTTGGAAACAGACTTTTGTACAATTTGCAAGTGGATATTTGGAGTGCTTTGTGGTCAATGGTGAAAAAGGAAATATCTTCACATAAAAACAAGACAGAAGCATTCTGAGAATCTTCTTTGTCATGTGTGCATTCATCTCACAGATTTGAAACTTCCTTTTAATTGAGCAGTTTGGAAACAGTCTTTTTGTAGAATCTGAAAAGGGATATTTGTGAGCCCTTTGAGGCCTATGGTGAAAAAGGAAATATCTTCACATAAAAACTAAACAGAAGCTTTCTGAGAAACTTCTAGTGATGTATGCCTTCATCTCACAGAGTTGAACCGTTCTTTTGATTGAACAGTTTGGAAACAGTCTTTTCATAGAAACTGCAAATGGATATTTACAGCACTTTGAGGCCTGTGGTGAAAAAGGAAATATCTTCACATAAAAACTAGACAGACACTTTCTGAGAAAGTTCTTTTTGATTTGTGCATTCATCTAACAAAGTTGAAACTTTCTTCTGATTGAGCAGTTTGAAAAACAGTCTTTTTGTAGATTCCTCAGAGGGATATTTGTTAGCGTTTTGAGGCTTATGGTGAAAAAGAAATATCTTCACGTAAAAACTAGGCACAAGCATTCTGAGAAACTTCTTTTGATGCTTGCATTCATCTCACACATTTGAATCTTTCTATTCATTGTGCAGTCTGGAAGCAGTCTTTTGTAGAATCTGCAAAGGGATATTTGTGAGCCCTTTGAGGCCTATGGTGAAATAGGAAATATCTTCACATAAAAACTAGACAGACACATTCTGAGAAACTTCTTTTTGTTGTGTGTTTCATCTCACAGAGTTGAGCTTTTCTTTTGATTGAGCAGTTTGGAGACAGTCATTTTGTAGACTCTGCAAATGGATATTTGGAGCGCTTTGAAGCCTATGGTGAAATCAGGTAATATGTTCACATAAAAATTAGACAGAATCTTTCTGAGAAATTTCTTTGTGATGTGTGCTTTCATCTCACAGATGTGAACCTTTCTTTTGATTGAGTAGTGTGGAAACAGTCTTTTTGTAGAATCTTCAAATGGATACTGGAGCGCTTTGAGGCCTAAGGTGAAAAAAGGAAATATCTTCACATAAACACTAGATAGAATCTTTTTGAGAAACTTATTTGTGATATGTGCATTCATCTCACAAGGTTGAACCTTTCTTTTAATGTAGCACTTTGGAAACAGTCTTTTTATACAATGTGCAAGGGGAAATTTCTGAGTGGTTTGAGGCCTATGGTGAAAAAGAAATATCTTCACATAAACACTAGACACAAAATTTCTGGGAAACTTCTTTGTGATGTGTGCATTCATCTCACAGAGTTGAACTTTTCTTTTGATTGAGCAGTTTGGAAACAGTCTTTTTGAAGTATTTGCAGAAGGATGTGTTTGAGCCGTTTGAGGCATATGGTGAAAAAGGAAATATCTTCACATAAAAACTAAGCAGAAGCATTCTTAGAAACTTCTTTGTGATGTGTGTATTTATCTCAAAGTGTTGAACCTTTCTTTTGATTGAGCAGTTTGTAAACAGTCTTTTTGTAGAATCTGCGAAGGGATATTTGTGAGCCCATTGAGGTCTATGGTGAAATAGGAAGTATCTTCACATAAAAACTAGACAGAAGCTTTCTGAGAAACTTCTTTGTGAGGTGCACTTTCATCTCACAGTTTTGATGCTTTCTATTGATTGAGCAGTTTGGAAACAGCCTTTTTGTGGAATCTGTAAATGGATATTTTGAGCGCTTTGAGGACTGTGGTGAAAAATGAAATATCTTCACATAAAAACTAGACATAATGTTTTTGAGAGACTTCTTTGTGATGTGTGCATTCATCTCATGGATTTGAAACTTTCTTTTGATTGAGCAGATTGGAAACAGTCTTTATGTAGAATCTGCAATGGGATATTTGTTAGCGCATTAAGGCCTATCATGAAAAAGGAAATATCTTCACATAAGAACTAGACAGAATCTTTCTGAGAAACTTGTTTTTGATGTGTACTTTCATGTCACAGAGTTGAACATTTCTTTTGATTGATCAGTTTGGAAACAGTCTTTTTGTGCAATTTGCAGAGGGATATTTGTGAGTGGCTTGAGGCCTATGGTGAAAATGGAAATATCTTTACATAAAAACTAGACGGAAGCATTCTGAGAAATTGCTTTGTAATGTGTGCTTTCATCTCACAGGGTTGAACCTTTCTTTTAATTGAGCAGTTTGGAAACCATCTTTTTATAGAATGTGCAAATGGATATTTGAAGTGCTTTGAGGCCTATGTTGAAAAAGGAAATATCTTCACATAGAAACTAGACAGAGGGTTTCTGAGAAACTACTTTGTGATGTGTGCATTCATTGCACAGAGTTGAAACTTCTTTTGCTTGAGCAGTTTGTAAAGAGTCTTTTTGTAGATTCTGCAGAGAGATATTTGTGAGCAGTTTGACCTTATGATGAAAACGGAAATGTCTTCACTGGAAAACTAGAGAGAAGCGTTTTGAGAAACTTCTTTGTGTTGTGTGCATTCATCTCACAGAGGTGAACCTTTCTTTTGATTGCGCAGTTTGGAAACAGTCTTTTTGTACTCTCTACAGAGGGTTAATTTTCAGCAGTTGGAGGCCTATGGTGAAAAAGGAAATATATTCACATGAAAACTAGACAGAATCTTTCTGAGAAACTTCCTTGTGATGTGTGCATTCACCTCAAAGACTTGAAGCTTTCTTTTGATTGAGCAGTTTGGAAAAAATCTGTTTGCACAATCAGCAAAGGGCTATTTCTGAGCTTTTTGAGGCCTATGGTGAAAAAGAAGTGTCTTCACATAAATATTATGCAGAAGCATTCTGAGAAACTTCTTTGTGATGTGTGCATTCCTCTCAGTGAGTTGAAACTTTCTTTTGATGGAGTAGTTTGGAACCAGTCTTTTTGTACAATCTGTAAAGAGATATTTGTGAGCCCATTGAGGCCTATGTTGAAATAGGAAATATCTTCACTTAAAAACCAGACAGAAGCTTTCTGACAAACTTCTTTGTGATGTGTGCTTCATCTCACAGTGTTGGAACTTTGTTTTGATTAAGCAGTTTCAAAACAGCCTTTTGTAGAATTCGCCCAGGGATATTTGGAGCACTTTGTGACATATGGTGAAAAGGAAATATCTTAACATAAAAATCAGACAGAAGAATTGTGAGCAACTTCTTTGTGATGTGTGCTTTCATCTCTCAGACTTGAACCATTCTTTTTATTGAGGAGTTTGGAAACCGTCTTTTTGTAGAATCTGCAAATGGATATTTTAGCACTTTGAGGCCAGGCCTATGGTGAAAAAACGAAATATATTCACATAAAAAGTAAACAGAAGCTTTCTAAGAAACTTCTACGTGATCTGCGCATTCATCTTATGAAGTTGCACCTATCTTTTGAGTAAGCAGTTTGGAAAGAGTCTTTTTTGTAGAATCTGTACAGGGATATTTGTGAGCCTTTTATGGCCTATGGTGAAATAGGAAGTATCTTCACCTAAAAACTAGACAGAAGCTTTCTGAGAAACTTTTGTGCAATGTATGGTTTCATCACACAGAATTGAACCTTTCTTTTGATTGAGCAGTTTGGAAACAGTCTTTTTGTAGAACATGAAAATGGATATTTGCAGCTCTTTGAGGCCAATGCTGAAAAAGGAAATATCTTCACATAAAAACTACACAGAAGTATTCTGAGAAACTTCTTCATGATGTGTGTATTCATCTCACAGAGTTTAACCTTTCATTTAATTAAGCAGTTTGGGAAGAGTCTTTTTTTAGAATCTGCAAATGGATATTTGGAGCTATTTGGGGCCTATGGTGAAAAAGGAAATATCTTCATATAAAACTAGACAGAAGCATTCTGAGAAAATACTTTGTGATGCCTGCATTCATCTCATGGAATTAAACCTTTCTTTTGATTGAGCAGTTTGGAAACTGTGTTTTTGTACAATCTGTGAAGGGATATTTCTGAGCTGTTCGAGGCCTATGGTGAAAAAGAAATATCTTCACATAAAACCTAGGCAGAAACATGCTGAGAAACTTTTTGTGATGTGTGCACTCTTCTCACAGAGTTGAACATTTCTTTTGATTGAGCAGTTTGGAAGCAGTCTTTTCACAAAATCTGCACATTGATATTTGTGAGCCCTTTATGGCCTATGGTGAAATATTTTCACATCAAAACTATGTTCATATATCTTCACATAAAATATCTTCACATAAAAGCTAGACAGAAGGATTCTGAGAAACTTCTTTGTCATGTGTGCATTCATCTCACAGAGTTGAACCTTTCTTATGATGCAGCAGTGGGTAAACATTCTTTTTGTAGTATCTGCAGAGGGATATTTGTGACTGTTATAAGGCCTATATTGAAAAAGGAAATATCTTCACATAAAAACTAGACAGAAGCATTCTGAGAATCTCCTTTGTGATGTATGCATTCACCTCACAAAGTTGAACCTCTCTTTTGATTTAGCAGTTTTGAAACAGTCTTTTTGTAGAATCTGCACAGGGATATTTGTGAGCCTTATATGGCCTATGGTGAAATAGGAAATATCTTCACATAAAAACTAGACAGAAGCTTTCTGAGAAACTTCTTTGTTATGTATGCTTTCATCTCACAAAGTTGAATCTTTCTTTTGATTGAGCACTTTGGAAACAGTCTTTTTGTAGTATCTGTAGATGGATATTTGTGACCAGTTTAAGGCCTATGGTGAAAAAGGAGATATCTTCACATAAAAACAAGACAGAAGCATTCTGAGAAACTTTTTTATGATGCCTGAATTCATCTCAGAGAGTTGAACCTTTCTTTTGATTGAGCAGTTTGGAAACAGTCTTTTTTACAAGCTGCAAAGGTATGTGTCTGAGCCGTTTGAGGCCAATGTTGAAAAAGAAATATCCTCACAAAAAACTAGACAGAAGCATTCTGAGAAACTTCTTTGTGATGTGTGCATTCATCTCACAGAGTTGAACCTTTCCTTTGATTGCATGGTTTGATAAACAGTCTTTTCATAGATCTGCACAGGGATATTTGTGAGCCCTTTATGGCCTATGGTGTAATTGGAAATATTTTCACATAAAAACTTGACAGAACATTTCTGAGAAACTTCTTTGTGATGTATGCTTTCATCTAACAGAGTTGAACGTTTCTTTTCATTGAGCAGTTTGGAAGCAGTCTTTTTGTAGAATATGCAAATGGATATTTAGAGCGATTTGAGGCCTATGGTGAACATGGAAATATCTTCACATAAAAACTAGACAGAAGCATTCTGAGAAACTTCTTTGTGATGTGTGCATCCATCTCTGAGAGTTGTACCTTTCTATTGATGGAGCACTTTTGAAACAGTCTTTTTGTAATATGTGCAGTGGGATATTTGTGACAGATTTAAGGCCTAGGGTGAAAAAGGAAATATCTTCACATAAAAACTAGACAGAAGCATTCTCAGGCACTTCTTTGTGATGTCTGCATTCATCTCACAGAGTTGAACATTTCTTTTGATGCAGCAGTTTGGAAACAGTCTTTTTTAGTATGTGCAGAGGCATATTTCTGACCAGTTTAAGGCCTATGGTAAAAAGGAAATATATTCAAATAAAAACTAGACAGAAGCATTCTGAGAAACTTCTTTGTGGTGTGGGCATTCATCTCACATTGTTGAACCCTTCTTTTGATTGCGCCGTTTGGAAACACTCTTTTTGCAGAATTTGCAAATGGATATTTGGAGTGCTTTGAGGACTATGGTGAAAAAGGAAATATCTTCACATAAAAACGAGGCAGAAGCATTCTGAGAAACTTCTTTTTGATGCGTTCATTCATCTCACAGAGTTGAAACTTCCTTTTGATGCAGCAGTTTGGAAACAGTCTTTTGTAGTATCTGCAGAGGCATATTTGTGACCGGTTTAAGGCCTATGGTAAGAAGGAAGTATGTTCACATCAAAACTAGACAGAAGCATTCTGAGAAACTTCTTTCTGTTGTGTGCATTCATCTCACAAAGTTGAACCTTTCTTTTGATTGAGGAGGTTGGAAGCACTGTTTTTGCAGAATCTGCAAATGGATATTTGTAGCAATTTGAAGCCAATGGTGAAATAGGAAATATATTCACATAAAACTTGAGAGAAGCATTCTGAGAAACTTCTTTGTGATGTGTGCATTTATCTCCCAGAGTTGAACTTTTCTTTTGGTGGGGCAGTTTGGAAAGAGTCTTTTTGTGGTACTTGCAGAGGGATATTTGTGACAGGTTTGAGGCCTGGGGTGGAAAAGGAAATATCTTAACATAGAAATTAGACAGAAGCATTCTGGGAAACTTCTTTGGATGTGTGCATTCATCACACAGAGTTGAAGTGTTCTTTTGATTGAGCAGGTTGGAAACACTCCTTTTGTAGAATCTGCAAAGAGATATTTGGAGAGCTTTGAGACATATGTTGGAAAAGGAATTATCTTCACATAAAAACTAGACAGAAGCATTCTGAGAAACTTCTTTGTGATGTGTGCATTCATCTCACAGAGTTGAACCTTTCTTTTGATGGAGCAGTTTGGCAACAGTCTTTTTGTCATATCCACACAGGGACATTTGTGACTTGTTTCAGGTCTATGGTGAAAAGGAAATAACTTCACATAAAAAGGATACAGAAGCATTCTGAGAAAATTATTTGTGATGTGTGCATTTATCTAAGAGTTGAACGTTTCTTTTGATGTAGAAGTTTGGAAACAGTCCTTTTGTAAAATCTACAAATGGATATTTGGAGTGCTTTGAGGACTATGGTGAAAAAGGAAATATCTTCACATACAAACTAAATGGAAGCATTCTGGGAAATTTCTTTAGGATGAGTGATTTCATCTCACAGGGGTGAAACTTTCTTTTGTTTGAGCAGTTTGGAAATTCTCTTTTCGTAGTATCTGCAAATGCATATTATCTTCACATCATAACTAGACAAAAACGTTCTGAAAAAATTCTTTGTGATGTGTGCATTCATCTCAAAGAGTTCACCCTTTCTTTTGATTGAGTATTTCTGAAACACTCTTTTTGTTGAATCTGCAAGTGGATATTTGGAGCGCTTTGAGGCCTATGGTGAAAAAGGAAATATCTTCACATAAAAACTAGACACAAGCATTCTGAGAACCTTTTTTTTGTGATGCCTGCATTTATTTCACAGAGTTGAAGCTTTCTTTCAGTTAGCAGTTTGGAAACTGTCTTTCTGAAGAATCTGCAAATGGATATTTGAAAAGCTTTGGGCCTGTGGTGAAAAAGGAAATATACTAACATAAAAACTATACAGAAGCATTCTAAGAAACTTCGTTGTGATGTTTGCATTCATCTCACACAGTTGAACCTTTCTTTTGATTGAGCCATTTTGACAGAGTCTTTTTGTACAATCTGCGAAGGGCTATTTCCAAGGTGTTTGAGGCCTATGGTGAAAAAGAAATATCCTCACATATAAACTAGACAGAAGACTTCTAAGAAACTTATTTGTGATGTGTGCATTCATCTCAGAGTTGGAACTTTCTTTTGATTGAGCACTTTGGAAACAGTCTTTTTGTAGAAACTGCAGTGGGATATTTGTGAGCCTTTTATGGCCTATGGTGAAATAGGAAATATCTTCACATAAAAACTAGACAGAATTGACCACATAGTTGGAAGTAAAGCTCTCCTCAGCAAATGTAAAAGAACAGAAATTATAACAAACTATCTCTCAGACCACAGTGCAATCAAATTAGAACTCAGGATTAAGAATCTCACTCAAAGCCACTCAACTACATGGAAACTGAACAACCTGCTCCTGAATGACTACTGGGTACATAACAAAATGAAGGCAGAAATAAAGATTTTCTTTGAAACCAACGAGAACAAAGACACCACATACCAGAATCTCTGGGACGCATTCAAAGCAGTGTGTAGAGGGAAATTTATAGCACTAAATGCCCACAAGAGAAAGCAGGAAAGATCGAAAATTGACACCCTAACATCACAATTAAAAGAACTAGAAAAGCAAGAGCAAACACATTCAAAAGCTAGCAGAAGGCAAGAAATAACTAAAATCAGAGCAGAACTGAAGGAAATAGAGACACAAAAAACCCTTCAAAAAATTAATGAATCCAGGAGCTGGTTTTTTGAAAGGATCAACAAAATTGATAGACCGCTAGCAAGACTAATAAAGAAAAAAAGAGAGAAGAATCAAATAGACACAATAAAAAATGATAAAGGGGATATCACCACCGATCCCACAGAAATACAAACTACCATCAGAGAATACTACGAACACCTCTACACAAATAAACTAGAAAATCTAGAAGAAATGGATACATTCCTCGACACATACACTCTCCCAAGACTAAACCAGGAAGAAGTTGAATCTCTCAATAGACCAATAACAGGCTCTGAAATTGTGGCAATAATCAATAGTTTACCAACCAAAAAGAGTCCAGGACCAGATGGATTCACAGCCGAATTCTACCAGAGGTACAAGGAGGAACTGGTACCATTCCTTCTGAAACTATTCCAATCAATAGAAAAAGAGGGAATCCTCCCTAACTCATTTTATGAGGCCAGCATCATTCTGATACCAAAGCCGGGCAGAGACACAACCAAAAAAGAGAATTTTAGACCAATATCCTTGATGAACATTGATGCAAAAATCCTCAATAAAATACTGGCAAACCGAATCCAGCAGCACATCAAAAAGCTTATCCACCATGATCAAGTGGGCTTCATCCCTGGTATGCAAGGCTGGTTCAATATACGCAAATCAATAAATGTAATCCAGCATATAAACAGAGCCAAAGACAAAAACCACATGATTATCTCAATAGATGCAGAAAAAGCCTTTGACAAAATTCAACAACCCTTCATGCTAAAAACTCTCAATAAATTAGGTATTGATGGGACGTATTTCAAAATAATAAGAGCTATCTATGACAAACCCACAGCCAATATCATACTGAATGGGCAAAAACTGGAAGCATTCCCTTTGAAAACTGGCACAAGACAGGGATGCCCTCTCTCACCGCTCCTATTCAACATAGTGTTGGAAGTTCTGGCCAGGGCAATCAGGCAGGAGAAGGAAATAAAGGGTATTCAATTAGGAAAAGAGGAAGTCAAATTGTCCCTGTTTGCAGACGACATGATTGTTTATCTAGAAAACCCCATCATCTCAGCCCAAAATATCCTTAAGCTGATAAGCAACTTCAGCAAAGTCTCAGGATACAAAATCAATGTACAAAAATCACAAGCATTCTTATACACCAACAACAGACAAACAGAGAGCCAAATCATGAGTGAACTCCCATTCACAATTGCTTCAAAGAGAATAAAATACCTAGTAATCCAACTTACAAGGGATGTGAAGGACCTCTTCAAGGAGAACTACAAACCACTGCTCAAGGAAATAAAAGAGGACACAAACAAATGGAAGAACATTCCATGCTCATGGGTAGGAAGAATCAATATCGTGAAAATGGCCATACTGCCCAAGGTAATTTACAGATTCAATGCCATCCCCATCAAGCTACCAATGACTTTCTTCACAGAATTGGAAAAAACTACTTTAAAGTTCATATGGAACCAAAAAAGAGCCCGCATCGCCAAGTCAATCCTAAGCCAAAAGAACAAAGCTGGAGGCATCACACTACCTGACTTCAAACTATACTACAAGGCTCCAGTAACCAAAACAGCATGGTACTGGTACCAAAACAGAGATATAGATCAATGGAACAGAACAGAGCCCTCAGAAATAATGCCGCATATCTACAACTACCTGATCTTTGACAAACCTGAGAAAAACAAGCAATGGGGAAAGGATTCCCTATTTAACAAATGGTGCTGGGAAAACTGGCTAGCCAAATGTAGAAAGCTGAAACTGGATCCCTTCCTTACACCTTATACAAAAATCAATTCAAGATGGATTAAAGATTTAAACGTTAGACCTAAAACCATAAAAACCCTAGAAGAAAACCTAGGCATTACCATTCAGGACATAGGCGTGGGCAAGGACTTCATGTCCAAAACACCAAAAGCAATGGCAACCAAAGCCAAAATTGACAAATGGGATCTAATTAAACTAAAGAGCTTCTGCACAGCAAAAGAAACTACCATCAGAGTGAACAGGCAACCGACAACATGGGAGAAAATTTTCGCAACCTACTCATCTGACAAAGGGCTAATATCCAGAATCTACAATGAACTCAGACAAATTTACAAGAAAAAAACAAACAACCCCATCAAAAAGTGGGCGAAGGACATGAACAGACACTTCCCAAAAGAAGACATTTATGCAGCCAAAAAACACATGGAGAAATGCTCATCATCACTGGCCATCAGAGAAATGCAAATCAAAACCACTATGAGATATCATCTCACACCAGTTAGAATGGCAATCATTAAAAAGTCAGGAAACAACAGGTGCTGGAGAGGATGTGGAGAAATAGGAACACTTTTACACTGTTGGTGGGACTGTAAACTAGTTCAACCATTGTGGAAGTCAGTGTGGCGATTCCTCAGGGATCTAGAACTAGAAATACCATTTGACCCAGCAATCCCATTACTGGGTATATACCCAAAGGACTATAAATCATGCTGCTATAAAGACACATGCACACGTATGTTTATTGCGGCACTATTCACAATAGCAAAGACTTGGAACCAACCCAAATGTCCAACAATGATAGACTGGATTAAGAAAATGTGGCACATATACACCATGGAATACTATACAGCCATAAAAAATGATGAGTTCATGTCCTTTGTAGGGACATGGATGAAATTGGAAACCATCATTCTCAGTAAACTATCGCAAGAACAAAAAACCAAACACCGCATATTCTCACTCATAGGTGGGAATTGAACAATGAGATCACATGGACACAGGAAGGGGAATATCACACTCGGGGGACTGTGGTGGGGTCGGGGGAGGGGGGAGGGATAGCATTGGGAGATATACCTAATGTTAGATGACACGTTAGTGGGTGCAGCGCACCAGCATGGCACATGTATACATATGTAACTAACCTGCACAATGTGCACATGTACCCTAAAACTTAGAGTATAATAAAAAAAAAACATTAAAAAAAAAAAAGAAAAGAAAAAAAAAACTAGACAGAAGCTTTCTGAGAAACTTCTTATTGATGTATGCTTTCATCTCACAGGGTTGAACCTCTCTTTTGACTGAACAGTTTGGAAATAATCTTCTTGTAGAGTCTGCAAATTTATATTTGGATTGCTTTGAGACCTATAGTGAAAAAGGAAATATCTTCACATAAAAACTAGACAGAAGGATTCTGAGAAACTTCTTTGTGATGTGTGCATTCATCTCACAGATTCGAATCTTTCTTTTGATTGAGCAGTTTGGAAAGAGACTTTTCATAGAATCTGCATGGGGATATTTGTGAGCCCTTTTTGTCCTACAGTATAATAGGAAATATATTTAAATAAAAACAAGACAGAAGCATTCTGAGAAACTTCTTTCTGATGTGTGCATTCATCTCACAGAGTTGAACATTTCTTTTGATTGAGCAGGTGGGAAGCTTTGTTTTTGAAGAATCTGCAAATGGATATTTGCAGCGATTTGAGTCCAATGGTGAAATAGGAAATATATTCACATAAAAACTAGAGAGAAGCATTATGACAAACTTATTTGTGATGTGTGCATTCATCTCACAGAGTTGAACTTTTCTTTTGATAGAGCAGTTTGGAAACACTCTTTTTGTGGTATATGCAGAGGGATATTTGTGACCAGTTTGAGGCCTGGGGTGAAAAAGGAAATATCTTCACATAGAAACTAAACAAAAGCATTCTGAGAGACTACTTTGTGATGTATGTTTTCATCTCACAGAGGTGAAATTTCCTTTGATGGAGCAGTTTGGAAGCAGTCTTTTTGTAGTATCTGCAGAGGGATATTTGTGACAGGATTAAGGCTAGGGATGAAAAAGGCAATATCTTCATATAAAAACAGGACAGAATCGTTCTGAAAGACTTCTTTGTGATGTGGGCATTCATCTCACAAAGTTGAACATTTCTTTTGATTGAGCAGCTTGGAAACACTCTTTTTGTAGAATCTGCAAATGGATATTTGGAGTGCTTTGAGGCCAACGGTGAAAAAGGAAATATTTTCACATAAACACTAAACAGAAGCCTTCTGAGAAACATATTTGGATTGTGTTCATTCATCTCACAAACCTGAAATTTCTTTTGATTGAGCAGTTTGGAAACAGTCTTTTCGTAGAATCTGCCAAGGGATACTTGTGATCCCATTGCGGCCTATGTGGAAATATGAAATATCTTCACATAAAAACTGGACAGGAAGTTTCTGAGAAACTTCTTTGTGATGTGTGCTTTCATCTCACTGAGTTGAAACTTTCTTTTGATTGAGTGGTTTGGAAAGAGCCTTTTTGTACAATCTACAAATGGATATTTGGAGCGCTTTGAGGCCTAAGTTGAAAAAGGAAGTATCTTCACATAAAAACTAGACAGAAGCATTCAGAGAAACTTCTTTGTGATGTGTGCATTCATGTCACAGAGTTGAACCTTTTGTTTGAGCAGTTTTGAAACAGTCTTTTTGTAGTATCTACAAGTGGATATTTGGAGTGTTTTGAGACACATGGCTGACATGGAAATATGTTCACATAAAAACTAGACAGAAACATTCTGAGAAACTTCTTTGTGATATGTGCATTCATCTCACAGAGGTGAACATTTCTTTAGATTGAACAGTTTTGAAACATTCTTTTTCTTAGAATCTGCAGGTGGATATTTGGAGTGGTTTGAGATCTGTGGTGGAAAAGGAAATATCTTCACATAAAAACTAGACAGAAGCATTCTGAGAAACTTCTTTGTGATGTGAGCATTCATCCCACAGAGTTGAACTTTTCTTTTCATTGAGCAGTTTTGGAAACCTCTTTTTGTAGAATTTGCATGTGTATATTTTGAGCACTTTGTGGCCTAAAGTGGAAAAGGAAATATATTCACATATATACTAGACAGAAACATTCTGAGAAACTTCTTTATGATGGGTGCATTCACATCACAGAGTTGAAAGTTTCTTCTGATTGAGCAGTACGGAAACAGTCAATCTGTAGAATCTGCAATGGGATATTTGTAAGCCCATTGAGGCCTATGGGGAAATAGGAAATATATTCACATAAAAATTAGACAGAAAATTTGTGAGAAACTTCTTTGTGATTTGTGCTTTCGTCTCAGAGAGCTGAAACTTTCTTTGATTGAGCATTTTGGAAACAGTCTTTTTGTAGAATCTGCAAGTGGATATTTGTAGTGCTTTGAGGCCTATGGCGAAAAAGGAAATATCCTCACATAAAAACTAGACAGAAGCATTCTGAGAAACTTCTTTGTGATGTGTGCATTCATCTCACAGAGTTGAACCTTTCTTTTGATTGAGCAGTTTCAAAATACTCTTTAATAGAATCTGCATGTGGATATTTGGAGCACTTTGAGGCCTATGATGGAAAAGGAAATATCTTCATATAAAAACTAGACAGAAGCATTCTGAGGAACATCTTTGTGATGTGTGCATTCATCTCAAAGAGTTGCACCTTTCTTTTGATGGAGCAGCTTCGAAGCAGTCTGTTTGTAATATTTACATTGGTATATTTGGGACAGGTTTAAGGCCAGGGGTGCAAAAGGCAATATCTTCACATAAAAACCATACAGAATAATTCTGCGAAACTTCTTTGTGATGAGGGCATTCATCTCACAGAAATGAACCTTTCTTTTGCTTGAGAAGTTTGGAAAGGTTCTTTTTTTAGAATCTTCAAATGGATATTTGGAGTGCTTTGAGGTCTATGATGTAAAAGGAAATAGCTTCACAAAAACACTAACCAGAAGTTTTCTGAGAAACTTATTTGGATCGTGTGCATTCATATCACAAACCTGAACTTTCTTTTGATTCAGCAGTTTGGAGGTAGTCTTTTCATAGAATCTGCAAAGGGATATTTGTGAGCCCATTGAGACCTATGGGGAAATAGGAAATATCTTCACATAAAAACTAGACAGTAACTTTCTGAGAAACCTCTTTGTGATGAGTGCTTTCATCTCACAGAGTTGAAACTTTCTTATGACTGAGCAGTTTGGAAACAGTCTTTTTGTAGAATCTGCAAGTAGATATTTGGAGTGCTTTTAGGCCTATCATGGAAAAGGAAATATCTTCACCTAAAACCCAGACAGAAGCATTCTGAGAAACTTCTTTGTGATGTGTGCATTCATGTCACAGAGTTGAACCTTACTTTTGATGGAGCAGTTTTGAAACAGTCGTTTTATACAATCTGCAGAGGGAGATTTGTGAGCCCATTGAGGCCTATGGGAAATAAGAAATGTCTTCACAGAAAAATTAGACAGAATATTTCTGAGAAACTTCTTTGTGACGTGTGCTTTCATCACACAGAGTTGAAACTTTCTTTTGATTGAGCATTTTGGAAACAGTCTTTTTACGGAATCTGCAAATGGTTGTTTGGAGCACTTTGAGGCCTATGGTGAAAAACAAAATATCGTCACTTAAAACTTGACTTAAGCACACTGAGAAACTCCTCTGTGATGTCTTCTTTCATCTCACAGAGTTGAACTTTTCTTTTGATTGAGCAGTTTGGAAGCAGTCTTTTTGTAGTATCTGGAAGTGGATATTTGGAGCGCTTTGAGGTCTATGGTAAAAAAGGAAATATCTTCGCCTAAAAACTAGACAGAAGCATTCTGAGAAACTTCTCTGTGATGTGTGCATTCATCTCAAAGAGTTGAAACTTTCTTTTGATTCAGCAGTCTTGAAATACTCTTTTTGTAGAATCTGAAATTGGATATTTGAAGCACTTTGAGGCCTCTGGTGGAAACGGAAATATCTTCATATAAAAATTAGTCGGAAGCATTCTGAGAAACTACTTTGTGATGTGTGCATTGAACTCACAGAGTTGAACCTTACTTTTGATTGAGCAGTTTGGAAAAACTCTTTTTGGAGAATCTGCAAATGGATAATTGGAAGGATTTGAGGACTATGGTGAAAAAGGAAATATCTTCACATGATAACTAGACAGAAGCATTCTGAGAAACTTCTTTGTGATGTGGGCATTCATATCACAGTTGAGCCTGTCTTTCGAGCGAGTAGCTTTGAAACCCTCTTTCTGTGCAATCTGCAAGTGGATATTTGTAGTGCTTTGAGGCCTATGGTGGAAAAGGAAATACCTTCACATAAAAACTAGACAGAAGCATTCTGAGAAACTTCTTTGTGATGTGTGCATTCACCTCACAGAGTTGAACCTTTCTTTTGATTGAGCAGTTTTCAAACAGTCTTTTTGGACTATCTGGAAATGAATATTTGGAGTGTTCTGAGGCCTATGGTGGAAAAGGAAATATCACATAAAAACTAGACAGAAGCATTCTGAGAAACTACTTTGTGATGTGTGCATTCATCTCACAGAGTTGAAACTGTCTTTTGACTGAGGAGTTTGGAAACCATCTTTTTTGTAGATTCTGCAAAGGGATAATTTGTGAGCCCTTTGAGGCCTCTGGGGAAACAGGAAATATCTTCAAATAAAAACTAGACAGAAGCATTCTGAGAAAATACTTGTGATGTGTGCTTTCTTTCCACAGGGTTGAAATTTTCTTTTGATTGAGCAGTTTGGAAAGAGTCTTTTGTAGAATCTGCAAATGGATATTTGGAGTGCTTTGTGTCCTATGGTGGAAAAGGAAATATCTTCACATAAAAACTAGACAGAAGCATTCTGAGAAACTACTTTGTGATGTGTGCATTCATCTCACAGAGTTGAAACTGTCTTTTGATTGAGGAGTTTGGAAACCATCTTTTTCTAGAATCTGCAAATGGATAATTTGTGAGCCCTTTGAGGTCTCCGGGGAAATAGAAAATATCTTCAAATAAAAACTGGACAAACCATTCTGAGGAGCTTCTTTGTGGTGTGTGCTTTCCTCTTGCAGAGGTGAAACTTTCTTTTGATTGAGCAGTTTGGAGACAGTCTTTTTGTAGAATCTGAAAATCTGAAAATGGATATTTAGAGCAATTTGAGGTGTATGGTGGAAAAGGAAACACCTTCACAGAAAAAGTAGATGGAACCATTCTGAGAAACTTCTTTGTGATGTGTACATTCATCTTAAAGAGTTGAACCTCTCTTTTGAATGAGCAATTTTGAAATAATCTTTTTGTAGGATCTGCAAGTGGAGATTTGGACTCCTTTAGTCCTATGGTAGAAAAGAAAATATCTCCACATAAAAACTAGACAGAAGCATTCTGAGAAACTCCCTTGTGATGTGTGAATTCATCTCACAGAGTTGAACCTTTCTTTTGATTGAGCAGTTTTGAAACACTCTTTTTGTAGAATCTGCAAGTGGATATTTAGAGCGATTTGAGGCCTATGGTGGAAAAGGAAATATCTTCACATGAAAACTACACAGAAGCATTCTGGGAAACTACTTTGTCATGTGTGCATTCATCTCACAGAGTTGAACCTTTCTTTTGATTAAGCAGTTTGGAAACGCTCTTTTTGTAGAATCTGCAAAGGGAAATTTTTGAGCCAATTGAGGCCTATGGGGAAATAGGAAATATCTTCACATAAAAACTAGACAGAAACTTTCTGAGAAACTTCTTAGTGTTTTGTGCATATATCTCATAGAGATGAACCTTTCTTTTGATTGAGCGGTTTTGAAACAGTCTTTTTATAGTATCTGCAAGTGGATATGTGGAGTGATTTGAGGCCTATTTTTGAAAAGGAAATATCTTCACATAATATCTGGACTGAAGCATTCTGAGAAACTTCTTTGTGATGTTTGCATTCATCTCACAGAGTTGAATATTTCTTTTGATTGAATAGTTTGGAAATAGTTGATTTGTAGAATTTGAAAAGGGAAATTTGTGAGCCCATTGAGGCATTTGGGGAAATCAGAAATATCTTCACATAAAAGCTCGACATGAACAATTTAAGACGCTACTTTGTGATGTGAGTTTTCATCCCACAGAGTTGAAACTTTCTTTTGATTGAGCAGTTCAGAAACAGTCTTTTTGTAGAATCTGAAAAATGCATATTTGGAGTGCTTTGAGTCCCATGGTGAAAAAGGAAAAATCTCATAAAAACAAGGCAGAAGCATTCTGAGAAACTTCTTTGTCATGTGTGCATTCATCTCACAGAGTTGAACATTTCTTTTGATTGAGTTGTTTTGAAAAAGTCTTTTTGTAGTATCTGGAAATGGATATTCGGAGTGCTTTGAGGCCTACGGTGGAAAAGGAAATATCTTTGCATAAAAACTAGACAGAAGCATTCTGAGAAACTACTTTGTGATGAGTGCATTCATCTCACAGAGTTGAAACTTGCTTTTTATTGCGCAGTTTGGAAACAGTCTTTTTTATAGAAGCTGCAAAGGGATATTTGTCAGTCCCTTGTGGCCTCTGGGGACATAGGAAATATCCTCAGAGAAAAGCTAGACAGACGCATTCTGAGAAATTTCTTTGTGATGTGTGCTTTCAGTCCACAGAGTTGAAACTTTCTGTTGATTGAGCAGGTTAGAAAAAGTCTTTTTGTAGAATATGTAAATGGAAATTTGGAGCACTTTGAGGCCTATAGTGAAAAAGGAAATACCGTCACATAAAAACTAGACAGAAGCATTCTGAGATACTCCTTTGTGATGTGTGCATTTATCTCACAGAGTTGAACATTTCTTTTGATTGAGTAGTTTGGAAACAGTCTTTTTGTAGTATCTGCAAATGGATATTTGGAGATCATTGAGGCCTACAGTGAAAAAGAAAATAACTTCAGATAAAAACTAGACAGAAGCATTCTGAGAAACTGCTTTGTGATGTGTGCATTCATCTCACAGGGTTGAACGTTTCTCTTGATTGAGCAGTTTGGAAACAGTCTTTTTGTGATATATGCATATGGATATTTGAATGCTTTGAGGCCTATGGTGAAAAACAAATATCTTCACATAAAAACTAGACAGTAGCATTCTCAGAAACTTCTTAGTGTTATGTGCATTCATCTCACAGTGTTGGACATTTCTTTTCATTGAGCAGTTTAGAAAAAGTCTTTTTGTAGTATATGCAAATGGATATTTGGAGCACTATGAAACCTATGGTGAAAAAGGAAATATCTTCACATAAAAACTAGACAGAAGCATTCTGAGAAACTTCTTTGTGATGTGTGCATTCATCACACAGCGTTGAACGTTTCTTTTGATTGAGCAGTTTGGAAGGAGTCTCTTTGTAGTATCTGCAAACGGATATTTGGAGTGCTTTGAAGCAAATGGTGAAACAGGAAATATTTTTACATAAAAATTAGACAGAAGCGTTCTGAGGAACTTCTTTGCGATGTGTGCATTCGTCTCACAGAGTTGAACCATTCTTTTGATTGAGCAGATTTGAAACTCTCTTTTTGTAGAATCTGCAACTGGATATTTGAAGTGCTTTGAGGCCATGGTGGAAAAGGAAATATCTTCATATAAACACTAGACAGAAGCATTCTGAGAAAGTTCTTTGTGACGTGTGCATTCATCTCACAGATTTGAATCTTTCTATTGACTGAGCAGTTTGGAAACCGTCATTTTGTAGATTCTGCAAAGGGATAATTGTGAGCTTATCTCTGAGGTTTATGGGGAAATAGGAAATATCTTCACATAAAAACTAGACAGAAAGTTTCTGAGAAACTTCTTTGAGATGTGTGCTTTCGTCTCACAGAGATGAAACTTTCTTTTGATTGAGTAGGTTGAAAACAATCTGTTTGTAGAATCTGCAAATGGATATTTGGAGCGCTTTTAGGCCTATGGTGAAAAAGGAAATATCTTCACATAAAAAATAGACGGAAGCATTCTGAGAAACTTCTTTGTGATGTGTGCATTCGTCTCACAGAGTTGAACTTTTCTTTCGATTGAGCAGTTTGGAAACAGTCTTTTTGTTGTATCTGTTAATGGATATTTGGAGTGCTTTGAGGCCTATGGTGAAAAAGGAAATATCTTAACATAAAAACGAAAGATAATCCTTTTGAGAAACTTCTTTGTGATGTGTGCTTTCATTTCACAGAGTTGAACCTTTCTTTTGATTGAGCAGTTTGGGAACACTGTTTTTGTAGAATCTGCAAGGGGATATTTGGAACTCTTTGAAGGCTTTTATGGCATGGGGAATATCTTCACCTAAAAACTAGATCGAAACATGCTAAGAAACTTCTTTGTGATGGATGGGTGCATTCATCTGACACAGTTGAATATTTCTTTTGATTGAGCAGTTTAGAAGCAGTCATTTTGTAGAATCTGCAAAGGGATATTTGTGAGCCCATTGACGCCTATGGGGAAATAGGAAATATCTTCATATAAAAACTAGAGAGAAATTTTTTGAGAAAGTTCTTTGTGAGGTGTGCTTTCATCTCACAGATTTGAAACTTTCTTTTGGTTGAGCAGTTTGGAAACAGTCTTTTTGTAGAATCTACAAATGGATATTTTGAGTGCTTTGAGGCCTATGGTGAAAAAGGAAATATCTTCACATAAAAACTAGACAGAAACATTTTGAGAAACTTCTTTTGGATGTTTTCATTCATCTTACAGTCTTGAACCTTTCTTTTGATTGAGTAGTTTGGAAATAGTCTTATTGTGGTATCTGCAAATGGATATTTGGAGCGCCTTGAGGCCTATGGAGAAACGGGAAATATCTTAACATTAAAATGAGACAGAAGGCTTTTGAGAAACTTCTTTGTGATGTGTGCTTTCATTTCAGAGAGTTGAACCTGTCTTTTGATTGAGCAGTTTGGGAACACTCTTTTTGTAGAATCTCCAAGTGGATATTTGGAACGCTTTTAGGCCTATTGTGGAAGAGGAAATATTTTCACCTAAACACTAGACAGAAGCACTCTGAGAAACTTCTTTGTGATGGGTTCATTCATCTCACAGAGTTGAATATTTCCTTTGATTGAGTAGTTTTGAAACAGTCATTTTGTAGGATCCGCAAAGGGATACTTGTGAGCCCTTTGAGGCCTATGGGGAAATAGGAAATTTCTTGACATAAAAAGTAGACAGAAGCATTCTGAGAAACTTCTTTGTGATGTGTGTTTTCATACCACAGAGTTGAAACTTTCTTTTGATTGAGCAGTTTGTAAACAGTGTTTTTGTAGAATCTGCAAATGGATAGTTGGATTGCTTTTAGGCCTATGGTGAAAAAGGAAATATCTTCACATAAAAACTAGACAGAACAATTCTGAGAAACTTCTTTGTGACGTGTGCATTCATCTCACAGTGTTGAACGTTTCTCTTGATTGAGCAGTTTGGAAAAAGTCTTTTTGTAGTACCTTCAAAAGGATATTTGGATCGCCTTGAAGCCTACAGTGAAAAAGGAAATATCTTCACATAATGACTAGACCAAAGCATTCTGAGAAAATTCTTTGTGATGTGTGCATTCATCTCACAGAGTTGAACATTTCTTTTGATGGAGCAATTTGGATACAGTTGTTTTGAAGAATCTGTGGAGGGATATTTGTGAGCTCACTGAGGCCTATGGGAAGTAGAAAATATCTTCACATTAAAACTAGACAGAACCTTTCTGAGAAACTTCTTTGTGATGTGTGCTTTCGTCTCACAGAGTTGAAACTTTGTTTTGGTTGAGCAGTTTGGAAACAGTCTTTTTATGGAATCTGCAAATGGATATTCGGAGCGCTTTGAGGCCTATGGTGAAAAAGGAAATATCTTCACATAAAAAGTAGGCAGAAGCATTCTGAGAAACTTCTTTGTAATGTGCACCTTCATCTCACAGACATGAACCTTTCTTTTGATTAAGCAGTTTAGAAACCGTCGTTTTGTAGAATCTGCAAAGGCATATTTCTGAACCCATTGGGGCCTAAGGAGCAATAGGAAATATTGTCACATAAAAACTACACTGAAACGTTCTGAGAATTTTCTTTGTGATGTTTCAAGGAGTTGAAACTTTCTTTTGATTGACTAGATTGGAAAGAGTCTTTTTGTAGAATCCTGAAATGGATATTTGGAGTGCTTTGAGGCATATGGTGAAAAAGGAAATATCTTCACATGAAAACTAGACAGAAGAAATTGGAGAAACTTTTCATGATGAGTGCATTCATCTCACAGAGTTGAACCTTTCTTTTGATTGAGGAGTTTGGAAAGAGTCTTTTTGTAGTATCTGCAAGTGGATATTTGGAGCACTTTGAGTCCTATGATGGATAAGGAAATATTTTCACATCAAGCTAGACAGAAGCAGTCTGAGAAACTTCTTTTTGATGTGCTCATTTATGTTACAGGGAAGCTTTCTTTTCATTGAGCAGTTTTGAGACACTCTTTTTGTGGAATCTGCAAGTGGATACTTGGAGCTCATAGAGGCCTGTGGTGGAAAAGGAAATATGTTCACATAAAAATTAGACAGAAACATTCTGAGAAACTTCTTTGTGAAGAGTGCATTCATCTCACAGAGTTGGAAATTCCTTTTGATTGAGCAGTTTGGGATCAGTCGTTTTGAAGCAGCTGCAAAGGGATATTTGTGAACTCAATGAGGCATATGGGGAAATAGGAAATATCTTCACATAAAAACTAGACAGAAACTTTCTGAGAAACTTCTTTGTGATGTGTGCTTTCATCTCACAGAGTTGAAACTTTCTTTTGATTGGGCAGTTTGGAAACAGTCGATCCTTAGAATCTGCATAGGGACATTTATTAGCCCATTGACGATGCTGGGGAAATAGTTTATATCTTCACATAAAAACTAGACTGAAACTGTCGGAGAAACTTTTTTGTCATGTGTGTTTTCATCCCACAGAGTTGAAATTTTCTTTTGATTGAGCAGTTTGGAAACATTCTTTTTGTAGAATCTGTAAATGGATATTTGTAGCACTTTGAGGCCTATTGTGAAAAATGAAATATCTTCACATAAAAACTACACAGAAGGATTCTGAGAAAGTTCTTTGTGATGTGCACATTCACCTCACAGAGTTCAAACTTTCTTTTGATGGAAAAGTTTGGAAACAGTCGTTTTGTAGATTCTGCAAAGGGATATTTGTGCACCCATTGAGGCCTACGTAGAAATAGGAAATATATTCTCATAAAAACTAGACAGAAGCATTCTGAGAAACTTCTGTGTGATGTGTGCATTCATCTCACACAGTTGAACTTTTCTTTTGATTGAGCAGTTTTGAAAAAGTCTTTTTCTATATCTGCAAGTGGATATTTGGAGTGATTTGAGGTCTATGGAGGAAAAGGAAACATCTTTACATAAAAACTAGTCAGAAGCATTCTGAGAAATTTCTTTGTGATGTATGCATTCTACTTGTAGATTCTACAAAAGGAGTGTTTCAAAACTGCTAAATCAAAAAAAGGTTCAAGGCTCCAAATGTCCACTTGTACATTCTACAAAAAGAGAGTTTCAAAACTGCTCAAACAAAAGAAAGGTTTAAATCCATGAGATGAATGAACACATCACAAAGAAGTTTCTCAGATTGCTTCTGTCTAGATTTTACGTGAAGATATTTCCTTTTATAACATAGGCCACAAAGCACTCCAAATGTCCACTTGCAGATTCTACAAAAACAGAGTTTCAAAACTGCTCAATCAAAACAAAGGTTTAACTCTGTGAAATGAATGCACACATCACAAAGAAGTTTCTCAGATTGTTTCTGTTTAGATTTTATGTGAAGATATTTCCTTTTGAAATGTAGGCTGAAAAGCGCTCCAAATGTCCACCTGTAGATTCTACAAAAAGAGAGTTTCAAAACTGCTCAATCAAAAGAAAGGTTCAACTCTGTGAGATGAATGAATACATCACAAAGAAGTTTCTCAGAATGCTTCTGCCTAGTTTTTATGTGAAGAGATTTCCTTTTCATCTATAGGACTCAAAGTGCTCAAAATATCCATTGGCTGATACAACAAAAAGAGTGTTTCCAAACTGCTCAATCAAAAGAAAGCTTCAACTCTGTGAGTTGAATGCACACATCACAAAGTAGTTTCTGAGAATACTTCTGTCTAGTTTTTAGGTGAAGAGTCTTCCTTTTCGGCTATAGGCCTCAAAGCACTGTAAATATCCATTTGAAAATACTTCAAAAAGAGTGTTTCAAAACTGCTCAATCAAAAGGAAAGTTCAACTCTGTGAGATGTATGCACACATCACAAAGAATTTTCTCAGGATGCTTCTGCCTAGTTTTTATGTGAAGATATTTCCTTTCAGCTATAGACCTCAAAGCACTCCAAATATCCATTTGCAGATACTACAAAAAGTGTTTCCAAACTGCTCAAAGAAAAGAAAGCTTCAACTCTGTGAGGCGAATGCACACATCACAAAGTAGTTTCTGAGAATGCTTCTGTCTAGTTTTTATGTGAAGATATTTCCTTTTCCACCATAGGCCTCAAAGTGCTCCAAATAGCCACTTTCAGATTCTACGAAAAGAGTGTTTCAAAACTGTTCAATCAAAAGAAAGTCTCAACTGTGTAAGATGAATGCACACATCACAAAGAAGTTTCTCAGGATGCTTCTCTCTAGTTTTTACGTGAAGATATTTCCTTTAAGCTATCGGCCTCAAAGCACTCCAAATATCCATTTGCAGACAGTACATAATGAATGTTTCCAAACTGCTTAACCAAAAGAAAGCTTCAACTCTGTGAGTTGAATGCTCACATCACAAATAAGTTTCTGAGAATGCTTCTATTTTTTATATGAAGATATTTCATTTTCAGCTATAGGCTTCAAAGCGCTCAAAATATTCATTTGTAGACACTACAAGAAGAGTTTTTCCAAACTGCTCAATCAAAAGAAAGGCTCAGCTCTGTTAGTTGAATGCCTTCATCACAAAGGAGCCTCTGAACATGCTTTTGTCTTGTTTTTATGAGAATGTACTTCCTTTTCCACTGTAGAATTAAAAGCACTCCAATAATCCACTTTCAGATTCTACAAAAAGAGTTTTTCTAAACTTCTCAATCAAAAGAAAGGTTCAACTCTGTGAGTTGAATGCACACATCACAAAGAAGTACCTGAGAATGCTTCTGTCTAGTTTTTATGTGAAGATATTTGTTTTCCACCGTAGGCCTCAAAGCGCTCCAAATACCCACTTGCAGATTCTACAAAGGAGTGTTTCAAAACTGCTCAATCAAAAGAGAGGTTCAACACTGTGAGATGAATGCACACACCACAAAGAATTTTCTGAGAATGCTTCTGTCTAGTTTTCATTTGAAGATATTTCCTTTTCCACCAGAGGCTTCAAAGTGCTCCAAATATCCACTTGCGAATTCTGCAAAAAGACTGTTTCAAAACTCCTCAATCAAAAGAAAGGTTCAACTCTGTGAGATGAGTGCTTACATCACAAAGAAGTTTCTGAGAATGCTTCTGTCTAGTTTTTATGTGAAGATACTTTCTTTTCAGCTATAGGCCTAAAACACTCCAAATATCCATTTGCAGATACTACAAAAAGAGTCTTTGCAAACTGATCAAACAAAAGAAAGGTTCAACTCTGTGAGATGAATGCACACATCACAAATTAGTTTCTCAGAATGCTTCTGACTAGTTTTTATGTGAAGAGATTTACTTTTCACCTATAGGCCTCAAAGTGCACAAAATATCCATTTGCAGATACTACAAAAAGAGTGTTTCCAAACTGCTCAATCAAAAGAATTGTTCAACTCGGTGAGTTGAAACCACACATCAGTAAGAAGTATCTGAGAATGCTTCTGTCTAGTTTTTATGTGAAGATATTTCCTTTTCCACCATAGGCCTCAAAGCGCTTCAAATATCCACTTGCAGATTCTGCAAAAAGAGTGTTTCCTAACTGCTCAATCAAAAGTGCGGTTCAACTCTGTGAGATGAATGCACACATCACAAACAAGTTTCTCAGAATGCTTCTGTCTTGTTTTTATGTCAAGATATTTCCTTTTCAGTTACAGGAGTCAAAGCTCTCCAAATATCCACTTGCAGATACTTCAAAACGTTTGTTTCCAAACTGCTTAATGAAAAGAAAGGGTCAACTCTCTGAGTTGAGTGCACACATCACAAAAGAGTTTCTGAGAATGCTTCTGTCTAGATTTATGTGAAGATATTTCCTTTTCCACCAAAGGCCTCAAAGCGCTCCAAATATCCACTTGCAGATTCTACAAAAAGTGCATTTCAAAACTCCTCAATCAAAAGAAAGCTTCAGTTCTCTGAGATGAATACACACATCACAAAGAAGTTACTGAGAATTCTTCTGTATAGTTTTTATGTGAAGATATTTCCTTTTCCGCTACAGGCCTCAAACTGCTGCAAATATCCATTTGCAGATACTACAGAAAGAGTGTTTAGAAACTGCTCAATTAAAAGAAAGGTTCAACCCTATGAGTTACATGCACACATCACAAAAATGTTTCTGAGAATGCTTCTTTTTAGTTTTTATGTGATATTTCCTTTTCCACCATGGGCCTCAAAGCAGTCCAAATTCAACTCTGTGAATGCACACATCATGAAGAATTTTCTCAGATTGCTTCTTTCTAGTTTTTATGTGAAGATATTTCCTTTTCAGCTATAGGCCTAAAAGCGCTCCAAATATCCACTTGCAGATACTGGAAAAAGAGTGTTTCCAAACTGCTCAAAGAAAAGAAAGGTTCAGCTCTATGAGTTGAATGTCCAGATCACAAAGAAGTATCTGAGAATGCTTCTGTCTAGTTTTTATGTGAAGATATTTTATTTTCCACCATAGGCCTCAAAGCGCTCCAAATCTCCACTTGGAGATTCTACAAAAAGAGTATTTCCAAACTGCTCAATCAAAAGAAATGTTCAAAACTGTGAGTTGAATGTACACATCACAAAGAAGGTTCAGAGAATGCTTCTGTCTAGTTTTTATGTGAAGATATTTCCTTTTCCACCAGAGGCCTCAAAGGGCTCCAAAAATCCACCTACAGATACTACAAAAAGAGAGTTTCAGAACTGCTCAATCAAAAGAAAGGTTTACCTCTGTGAGACAAATGCACACATCACAAAGAAGTTTCTCAGATTGCTTCTGTCTAGATTTTAAGTGAAGATATTTCTTTTTCTACCATAGACCGCAAAGTGCTCCAAATGTCCACTTGCAGATTCTACGAAAAGAGTGTTTCAAAACTCCTCAATCAATAGAAAGGTTCAATTCTGTGTGATGAATGCACACATCACAAGGACGTCTCTCATATTTCTTCTGTCTATTTTTTATGTGAAGATATTTCCTTTTCCACGACAGGCCTCAAAGCGCTCCAAATGTCCACTTGCAGATCCTACAAAAAAAGAGTTTCAAAACTTCTCAATGAAAAGAAAGTTTTAACTCTGTGAGATGAATGCACACATTATGAAGAGGTTTCTCAGATGGTTCCTGTCTAGATTTTATGTGAAGATATTTCCTTTTCTATCATAGCCCGCAAAGCGCTCCAATTGTCCACTTGCAGATTCTACAAAAAGAGTGCTTCAAAACTGTTCAATCAAAAGGAAGTTTCAACTCTGTGAGATGAATGCACACATCACAAAGAAGTTTCTGAGAATTCTTCTCTGTAGTTTTTATGTGAAGATATTTCCTTTTCCACCATGAGCCTCAAAGTGCTCCAAATATCCACTTGCAGATTCTACAAAAAGAGAGTTTCAAAAACGGCTGAGTCAGAAGAAATGTTGAACTCTGTGAGATGAACGCACACATCAAAAGGAGTTTCTCAGAATTCTTTTGTGTAGTTTTTATATGAAGATATTTCCTTTTCCTCTGTAGGCCTGAAGGCACTAGAATTGTCCACTTGCAGATTCTGCTAAAAAAGTATTTCAAAACTGGTCCTTCAAAAGAAAGGTTCAATTCTGGGACATGAGTTCACACAGCATGAAGAAGTTTGTCAGTTTGCTTCTGTCTAGTTTTTATGTGAACATATTTCTTTTTCAGATATAGGTCTCAAAGCACTCCAAATATCCATTCGCAGATACCACAAAAAGAGTGTTCCCAAACTGTTGAAACTAAAGAAAGCTTCAACTCTGTGAGTTGAATGCACAAATCACAAAGAATTTTCTGAGAATGCTTCTGTCTAGTTTTCTGTGAAGATATTTCCTTTTCCACCGTAGGCCTCAAAGTGCTCCAAATATTCACTTTCAGAATGTACAAAAAGGGTTTTTCCAAACTGCTCAGTCAAAAAAAGATTCTACTCTGTGGGATGAATGCACACATCACAAAGAAATTTCTCAGAATACTTCTGTCTACTTTTCATGTGAATATAATTCCTTTTCAGATTTAGGCACCAAAGCACTCTAAATATCCTCTTCCAGGTTCTACAAAGAGTGTTTCAAAACTGCTCGATCAAAAGAAACGTTTAACTATGTGAGAAGAATGCACACATCATGAAGAATTTTCTCAGATTGCTTCTGTCTAGTTTTTATGTGAAAATGTTTCCTTTTCAACTATAGGCCTAAAAGCGCTCCAAATATCCACTTGCAGACACAGGAAAAAGAGTGTTTCCAAACTGCTCAATGAAAAGAAAGGTTCAAATCTATGAGTTGAATGCCCATAACATAAAGAAGTATCTGAGAATGCTTTTGTCTAGTTTTCATGTGAATATATTCCCTTTTCCACCACAGGCCTCAAAGCGCTCCAAATCTCCACTTGCAGATTCTACAAAAAGAGGGTTTACAAACTGCTCAATCAAAGGAAAGGTTCAAATCTGTGAGATGAATGCACACATCACAAAGAAGTTTCTCAGGATGCTTCTGTCTAGTTTTTATATGAAGATATTTCCTTTTCAGCTATAGGCCTCAAAGTGCTCCATATATCCATTTACAGATACTACAAAAACAGTGTTTCCAAACTGCTCAATCAAAAGAAAGCTTCAACGCTGTGAGTTGAATGCACAAATCACAAAGAAGTTTCTGAGAATGCTTCTGTCTAGTTTTTATGTGAAGATATTTGCTTTTCAGCTATAGGCGTCAAAGCGCTCCAAATATCCATTTGCCGATACTACAAAATGAGTGTTTACAAACAGCTCAATCAAAAGAAAGCTTCACCTCTGTGAGGTGAATGCGCACATCACAGAGAAGTTTCTCACAATGCTTGTGTCTAGTTTTTATAAGAAGATATTTTCTTTTCCACCATAGGACCCAAAGCGCTCCAAATATCCACTTGCAGATTCTACAAAAAGAATGTTTCAAAACTGCTCAATCAAAAGAAAGTTTCAACTCTGTGAGATGAATGCACAAATCACAAAATAGTCTTTGAGAATGCTTCTGTCTAATTTTTATGTGAAGCTATTTCCTTTTCTGCTATAGGACTCAAAGCGCTCCAAATATCCCTTTGAAGATACTACAAAAATAGTGTTCCCAAACTGCTCAATCAAAGGAAAGGTTCAAGTCTGTGAGTTGAATGCACTCATCACAAAGAAGTTTCTGAGAATCCTTCTGTCCAGTTTTTATGTGAAGATATTTCTTTTTCCACCATAGGCCTCAAAGCACTCCAAATACCCTTTTGCAGATTGTACAAAAAGAGTGTTTCAAATCTGCTCAGACAAAAGAAAGTTTCAAGTCTGTGAGATGAATGCACACATGACAAAGAATTTTCTGAGAAAGCTTCTGTCTAGTTTTTATGTGAAGATATTACCTTTTTAGCTCTAGGCCACAAAGCGCTCCAAATTTCCACTTGCAGATTCTACAAAAGAGTGTTTCCAAACTGCTCAATCAAAAAAATGTTCAACTCGGTGAGTTGAAATCACACATCACAAAGAAGTACATGAGAATGCTTCAGTCTAATTTCTATGATAAGATATTTCCTTTTCTGCCATAGGCCCCAAAGTGCTCCAAATATCCACTTGCAGATTCTACAAAAAGAGTGTTTCCTAACTGCTCAATCAAAAATATGATTCAACTGTGTGAGATGAATGCACACTTCACAAACAAGTTTTTCAGAATGCTTCTGTCTAGTTTTTGTGTGAAGATATTTCCTTTTCAGTTATAGGAGTCAAAAGGCTCCAAATATCTATTTGCAGATACTTCAAAAAGTTTGTTGCCAAAATGCTTAATCAAAAGAAAGTTTCAACTCTCTGAGTTGAATGCACACATCACAAAGGAGTTTCTGAGAATGCTGCTGTCTAGTTTTAATGTGAAGATATTTCCTTTTCCACCATAGGCCTCAAAATGCTCCAAATGTCCACTTGCAGATCCTACAAAAAGAGAGTTTCAAAATGGCTCAATGAAAAGAAAGGTTTAACTAAGTTAGATGAATGCACATATCACACAGAGGTTTCTCAGATTGCTTCTGTCTAGATTTTATGTGAAGATATTTCCTTTTCTACCATAGTCCGCAAAGCGCTCCAAATATCCACTTGCAGATTCTACAAAACGAGTGTTTCCAAACTGCTCAGTATAAAGAAAGATTCAACTCTGTGAGATGAACGCACACATCACAAAAAAGTTTCTCAGAATTCTTCTGACTAGTTTTTATATGAAGATATTTCCTTTTCCACCATAGACCTCAAAGCCCTCCAAATGTCCATTTGCAGATTCTACAAAAAGAGAGTTTCAAAACTGCTCAATCAAAAGAAAGGCTTACCTCTGTGAGACAAATGCACACATCACAAAGAAGTTTCTCAGGTTGCTTCTGTCTAAATTTTACATGAAGATATTTCCTTTTCTACGATAGGCCGAAAAGAGCTCTAAATGTCCACTTGCAGAGTCTACAAAAAGAGTGTTTCAAAACTCCTCAATCAAAAGAAAGTTTCAACTCTGTGAGATGAACGCACACATCACAAAAATGTTTCTCAGAATTCTTCTGACTAGTTTTTATGTGAAGATATTTCCTTTTCCACGATAGCCCTCAAAGCGCTACAAATGTCTACTTGCAGGTTCTACAAAAAGAGAGTTTCAAAACTGCTCAATAAAAAGAAAATTATAACTCAGTGAGATGAATTCATACATCACAAAGAAGTTTCTCAGATTGTTTCTGTCTAGATTTTATGTGAAGATATTTCCTTTTCTACCATAGGCCCCAAAGCACTCCAAATATTCTCTTGCTGATTCTACAAAAAGAGTGTTTCCAAACTTCTAAATCAAAAGAAAGCTTCAAACTTAGAAGATGAATGCACACATCACAAAGTAGTTTCTCAGAATCCTTCTGTCTAGTTTCTATGTAAAGATATTTCCTTTTCCACCATAGGCCTCAAGACACTCGAAATGTTCACTTGCAGATTCTACCAAAAACGTATTTCAAAACTGGTCAATCAAAAGAAATGTTCAATGCTGGGAGATGAATGCACACATCACAAAGAAGTTGCTCAGAATGCTTCTATCTAGTTTTTACTTGAAGATATTTCATTTTCCACCATGGGACTCAAAGCTCTCCATATGTCCAATTGCAGATTCTACAAAAAGAGAGTTTCAAAACTGCTCTATCAAGAGAAAGGTTTAACTCTGTGAGATGAATGCACACATCACAAAGAAGTTTCTCAGATTGCTTCTCTCTAGGTTTTATGTGAAGATATTTCCTTTTCTACGATTGGCCGCAAATCACTCCAAATGTCCACTTGCAGATCCTATAAAAAGAGTGTTTCCAAACTGCTCAATGAAAAGAAATGTTGAATTCTGTGAGATGAACACACATGTCACAAAGATTTTTCTCACAATTCTGCTGTCGAGATTTTATGTGAAGATGTTTCCTTTTCCACCATAGGCCTCAAAGTGCCCCAAATGTCCACTTGCAGATTCTACAAATAGAGTGTTTCAAAACTGTTCAATGAAAAGAAAGGTTTAACTCTGTGAGATGAATGCACACATCACAAGGAAATCTCTCAGATTACTTCTGTCTAGATTTTATGTGAAGATAATTCCTTTTCTAACATTGGCTGCAAAGTGCTCCAAATGTCAACTTGCAGATTCTACCGTAAGAGTGTTTCCGAACTGCTCAATCAAAAGAAAGTTTTCAACTCTGTGAGATGAACGCACACATAACAAAGTAGTTTCTCAGAATTATTCTGTCTAGTTTTTATGCGAAGACGTTTCCTTTTCCACCTTAGGCCTTAAAGCACTCCAAATGTCCACTTGCAGATTCTACAAAAGGAATATTTCAAAACTGTTCCATAAAAAGAAAGGTTCAACTCTGGGTGATGAATGCACACATCGTAAAAAAGTTTCTCCGAATGCTTATATCTAGTTTTTATGTGAAGATATTTCCTTTTCCACCATAGGCCTCAAAGCACTCCAAATGTCCACTTGCAGATTCTACAAAAAGAGAGTTTCAAAACTACTCAAAGAAAGGGTTACCTCTGTGAGATGAATGCACACATCACAAAGAAGTTTCTCAGATTGCTTCTGTCTAGATTTTATGTGAAGTTATTTCCTTTTCTACCACAGGCAGCAAAACGCTCCAAATGTCCATGTGCAGATTCTACAATAAGAGTGTTTCCAAACTGCTCAATCAAAAGAAAGATTCAACTCTGTGAGATGAACGCGCACATCACAAAGAAGTTTCTCAGAATTCTTCTGTCTAGTTTTTATGTGAAGATATTTTATTTTCCACCATAGACCTTAAGGTGCTTGAAATGTCCACTTGCAGATTCCACAAAAGGAGTATTTCAAAACTGGTCTATCAAAAGAAAGGTTCATCCCTTGGAGGTGAATGCACACATCACAACAAAGTTTCTCAGATGGCTTCTGTCTAGATTTTATGTGAAGATATTTCCTTTTCTCCCAAAGGCTGCAAAGCGCTCCAAATTTCCACATGCAGATTCTACCAAAAGAGTGTTTTGAAACTATGCAATCAAAAGAAAAGTTCAACTCTGTGAGATGAATGCACACATCACAAAGAAGTTCCTCAGGATCTGTTTAGTTTTTATGTGAAGATATTTCCTTTTCTACCATAGGTTGCAAAGCACACCAAATGTCCACTTGCAGGTCCTAAAAAAAGAGTGTTTCCAAAATTCACAATCAAAAGAAAGGTTCAACTCCGTGAGATGAACGCACACATAGCAGAGAAGTTTCTCATAATTCTTCTCTCTAGTTTTTATGCGAAAATATTTCCTATTCTACCATAGGCCGCAAAGCACTACCAAAAGAGTGTTTCCAAACTGCTCAATCAAAAGAAAGCTTCAACTCTGTGAGTTAAATGCACACATCACAAAGTAGTTTCTGAGAATGTTTCTGTCTAGTTTTTAAGTGATGATATTTCCTTTTCCACCATAGGCCTCAAAGCCCTCCAAATATCCACTTGCAGATTCTACAAAAAGAGTGTTTCAAAACTGTTCAATCAAAAGACAATTTCAACTCTGTGAGATGAATGCACACATCACAAAGAAGTTTCTCAGGATGTTTCTGTCTAGGTTTTATGTGAAGATATTTCCTTTCAGCTATAGGCCTCAAAGCACTCCAAATAGACATTTTCAGACACTACAAAATGAGTGTTTCCAAACTGCTCAATCAAAAGAAAGCTTCAACTCTGTGAGTTGAATGCACACATCACAAAGAAGTTTCTGAGAATGCTTCTGTCTAGTTTTTATGTGAAGATATTTCTTTTTCAGCTATAGGCCTCAAAGTGCTCCAAATATCCATTTGCAGATACTACAAAAAGAGTCTTTGCAAACTGCTCAATGAAAAGAAAGGTTCAACTCGGAGTTCAATGCACACATCACAAAGAAGTTTCTCAGAATGCTTCAGTCTAGTTTTTATGGGAAGATGTTTGCTTTCCACCACAGGCCTCTAAGCGCTCCAAATATCCATTTGCAGATTCTCCAAAAAGTGTGTTTCAAAACTGCTTAATCAAAAGAACGGTTTATCTCTGTGAGATGAATGCACACAGAAGTTTCTCAGAGTGCTTCTGTCTACTTTATATGTGAACATAATTCTTTTTTCAGCTATACGCCTCAAAGTGCTCCAAATATCCAATTGCAGATAATACAAAGCCAGTGTTTCCAAACTGCTCAATCAAAAGAAAGCTTCAACTCTGTGAGTTGAATGCACACATCACAAAGAAGTTTCTGAGAATGCTTCTGTCTAGTTTTTATGTTAGGATATATCCTTTTAAGCTATGGACATCAAAGTGCTCCAAATATACATTTGCAGATACTACAAAATGAGTGTTTTCAAACAGCTCAATCAAAAGAAAGTTCAACTCTGTGAGTTGAATGCACACATCACAAGGAAGTTTCTCAGAATACTTCTGTCTTGTTTTTATGTGGAGATATTTCCTTTTCCACATTGGCCTCAAAGCACTCCAATTATCCACTTGCAGATTCTACAAAAAGAGATTTTCAAAACTGCTCAATCAAAAGAAAGGTTCAACTCTTTGAAATGAACACACACATCACAAAGAAGTTTCTCAGAATGCTTCTGTCTAATTTTTATGTCAAGATATTTCCATTTCAGCTATAGGCCTCAAAGCACTCCAAATATCCATTTGTGGATACTGTAAAAAGGGTTTTTCCAATCTGCTCAATCAAAAGAAAACTTCAACTCTGTGAGTTGAATGCACACATCACAATGAAGTTTCTGACAATGCTTCTGTCAAGTTTTTATGTGAAGATATTTCATTTTCCACCATAGGCCTCAAATCACTCCCAATATCCACATGCACATTCTCCAAAAAGAGTGTTTCAAAACTGTTCAATCAAAAAAAAGGTTAAAATCTGTGAGATGAATGCACACATACCAAAGAAGTTTCTCAGAATGCTTCTGTCTAGTTTTTATGTGAAGATATTTCCTGTGCCCCTATAGGCCTCAAAGCGCTGCAAATATCCATTTGCAGATACTATAAAAAGAGTGTTTCCAAACTGCTCAATCAAAAGTAAGGTTCAACTCCATGAGCTGAATGCACACATCACGAAGAAGTTTCTGAGAATGCTTCTGTCTACTTTTTAGGTGAAGATATTTCCTTTTCCAGCATAGGCCTCAAAGCGCTCCAAATATCCACTTACATATTCCACAAAAAGAGTGTTTCAAAACTGCTTAATTAAAAGAAAGGTTCAACAATGTGAGTTGAATGCACACATCACAAACCAGTTTGTCAGATTGCTTCTCTCTAGATATTATGTGAGGATATTTCCTTGTCTAACAGGCCGTAAGGACCTCCAAATTTGAACTTGCAGATTCTACCAAAAGAGTGTTTCCAAACTGCTCAAAGAAAGGTTAAACTCTTTGAGATGAATGCAAGCATCACAAAGAAGTTTCTCAGAATGCTTCTGTCTAGTTTTTATGTTAAGATATTTCCTTTTCCATCATAGGCCTCAAAGTGCTCAAAATATCCACTTGCAGATACTACAAAAAGAGAGTTTCAAAACTGCTCAATCAAAAGAAAGTTTTAACTTTGTGAGATGAATGCACACATCACAAAGAAGTTTCTCAGATTGCTTCTGTCTAGATTTTTTGTGAAGATCTTTCCTTTTCTACCACAGGCCGCAAAGCACTCCAAATGTCCACTTGCAGATACTACAAAAAGAGTGTTTCCAAACTGCTCAATCAAAAGAAAGGTTCAACTCTGTGAGATGAATGCACACATCACAAAGAGGTTTCTCAGAATGCTTCTGTCTACTTTTTATGTGAGGATATTGCCTTTTCAGCTATACTCCTCAAAGAGCTGTAAATACCCATTTGCAAATAGTATAAAAAGAGTGTTTCCAAACTGCTCAATCAAAAGAAAGGTTTAACTCTATGAGATGAATGCACACATCACAGTGAACTTTCTGAGAATGCTTCTGTGTAGTTTTTATGTGATGACATTTCCTTTTACAGCATAGGCCTCAAAGCACTCCAAATATCCACTTGCAGATTTTACAAAAAGATAGTTTCAAAACTGCTCAATCAAAAGAAAGGTTCAACCCTGTGAGATGAATGCACACATCTCAAACCAGTTTCTCAGATTGCTTCTGTCTAGATTTTATGTGAAGATGTTTCCTTCTCTACCATAGGTCACAAAGAGCTCCAATTTTCAACTTGCAGATTCTACCAAGAGTGTTTCCAAACTGCTCAATCAAATAAAGCTTCAACTCTCTGAGATGAAAGGAAGCATCACAAAGAAGTTTCTCAGAATTCTTCTGTCTAGTTTTAATGTGAAGATATTTACTTTTCCACCATAGGCCTCAAAGTGCTCCAAATGTCCACTTGCAGTTTCTACATAAAGAGAGTTTCAAAACTGCTCAATCAAAAGAAAGTTTTAACTTTGTGAGATGAATGCACACATAACACAGAAGTTTCTCAGACTGCTTCTGTCTAGATTTTATGTGAAGATATTTCTTTTTCTATCATAGGCTGTAAAGCACTCCAAATGTCCACTTGCAGATTCTACAAAAAGAGTGTTTCCAACCTACGCAATCAAAAGAAAGGTTCAACTCTGTGAGATGAATGCACACATCCCAAAGAGGTTTCTCAGAATGCTTCTGTCTACTTTTTATGTGAGGATATTGCCTTTTCAGCTATACTCCTCAAAGAGCTGTAAATACCCATTTGCAGATAGTATAAAAAGAGTGTTTCCAAACTGCTCAATCAAAAGAAAGGTTCAACTCTGTGAGTTGAACGCACACATCAAAAAGAAGTTTCTGAGAATGCTTCTGTCTAGTTTTTATGTTAAGATATTTCCTTTTCCACCATAGGCATCAAAGCACTCTAAATATCCACTTGCAAATTCTACAAAAAGAGTGTTGCAAAACTGCTCAATCAAAAGAGAGTTTCAACTCTGTGAGATGAACGCACATGTCACAAAGAAGTTTTTCCGAATTCTTCTCTCTAGTTTTTATGAGAAAATATTTCCTTTTCCACCCTAGGCCTCAAAGCGATCCAAATGCACACTTGCAGATTCTACAAAAACAGAGTTTCAAAAACGGCTCAATCAAAAGTAAGGTTTAACTCTGTAAGATGAATGCACACATCACAAAGCAGTTTCTCAGATTGCTTCTGTCTAGATTGTATGTGAAGATATTTCCTTCTCTACCATAGGCCGCAAATAGCTCCAAATTTGAAATTGCAGATTCTACCAAAAGAGTGTTTCCAAACTGCTCAATCGAAAGAAAGGTTCAACTATTTGAGATGAATGCAAGCATCACAGAGAAGTTTCTCAGAATTCTTCTGTCTAGTTTTTATGTGGAGATATTTCCTTTTCCACCATAGGCCTCAAAGTGCTCCAAATGTCCACTTGCAGAGTCTTCAAAAAGAGTGTTTCAAAACTACTCAATCAAAAGAAAGTTTTAACTTTGTGAGATGAATGCACACATCACAAAGAAGTTTCCCAGATTGCTTCTGTCTAGATTTTATGTGAAGATATTTTTTTTCTACCATGGGCTGCAAAGCACTCCAAATGTACACTTGCAGATTCTACAAAAAGAGTGTTTCCAAACTGCTCAATAAAAAGAGAGGTTCAACTCTGTGGGATGAATGCACACGTCACAAAGTGGTTTCTCAGAATTCTTCTGTCTAGTTTTCATGTGAAGCTATTTCCTTTTCCATCATAGGCCTCAAGGCAATCCAAATGTCCCCTGCAAACTCTACAAAAAGAGAGTTTCAAAACTTCTCAATCAAAAGAAACTTTTGATTTTGGGAGATGAATGCCCACATCACAAGAAGTTTCTCAGATTGCTTTTGTCTACATTTTATGTGAAGATATTTACTTTTCTACCATAGGCCCCAAAGCGTAAAATCATCCTCTTGCAGATATTACAAAAAGAGTTTTTCCAAACTTCTCAATCAAAAGAAAGGTTCAACTCTGGGAGACAAACACACACACCACAAAGAAGTTTCTCAGAATTCTTCTGTCTAGTTTTTATGTGAAGATATTTCCTTTTCCACCATAGTCCTCAAAGCCCTCCAAATGTCCACTTGCAAATTCTACAAAAAGAGAGTTTCAAAACTGCTCAAACAAAAGAAAGGTTTAAATAAGTGAGATGAATGAACACATCACAAAGTAGTTTCTCAGATTGTTTCTGTCTAGATTTTATGTGAAGATATTTCCTTTTATAACATAGGCCACAAAGCACTCCAAATGTCCACTTGCAGATTCTAATAAAAGAGTGTTTCCAAACTGCTCAATCAAAAGAAAGGTTCAATTCTGTGAGATGAATGCACACATCACAAAGAAGTTTCTCAGAATTCTTCTTCCTAGTTTTTATGTGAAGATATTAGCTTTTCCACCATAGGCCTCAAAGAGTTCCAAATGTTCTCTTTCAGATTCTACAAAAAGAGAGTTTCAAAACTGCTCAATCAAATAAAGTTTCAACTCTGTGAGATGAACGCTAACCTCACAAAGAAGATTCTCAGAATTCTTCTGTCTATTTTTCATGTGAAGATATTTCCTTTTCCACCATAGGCCACAAAGTGCTCCAAATGTCCACTTACACATACTACAAAAAGAGAGTTTCAAAACTGCTCAATCAAAAGAAAGTTTTTACTCTGTGAGATGAACACACACATCACAAAGAAGTTTCTCAGAGTGCTTCTGTCTAGTTATTATATAAAGATATTTCGTTATCCACCATAGGCCTCAAAGCGCTCAAATGTCCACAGGCAGATTCTCCAAAAAGAGTGTTTCAAAACTGCTCAATCAAAAGAAAGGTTCATCTCTGTGAGATGAACGGACACATAACAAAGCAGTTTCTCAGAATTCTTCTGTCTAGTTTTTATGTGAAGTTATTTCCTTTTCCACCATAGGCCTCAAATTGCTCCAAATGTCCACTTGCAGATTCTACAAAGGAATAGTTTCAAAACTGCTCAATCAAAAGAAAGGTTTAACTCTGTGAGATGAATTCAGACAACACAAAGAAGTTTCTGAGAATCCTTCTGTCTATTTTTTATTAGAAGAAATTTTGTTTTCAGCTGTAGGCCTCAAAGGGCTCCTAATATCCTTTTCCAGGTACTGCAAAAAGAGTGGTTCCAAACTGCTCAATAAAAAGAAAGGTTCAAATCTGTGACAGGAATGTACACAGCACAAAGAAGTGTCTGAGAATGCTTCTGTCTAGTTTTTATGTGAAGATATTTCCTTTTCCACCAGACGCCTCAAAGCACTCCAAATATCCGCTTGTAAATTTTACAAAAAGAGTGTTTCAAAACTGCTCAATCAAAAGAAAGGTTCAACTCTCTGAGATGAATGCACACATCACAAAGAAGTTTCTGAGAATACTTCTGTCTAGTTTTTATGTGAAGATATTTCCTTCTCTGCTATAGACCTCAAAGCGCTGCAAATATCCATTTGCAGATACTACAGAAAGAGTGTTTCCAAACTGCTCAAAAAAAGAAAGGTTCAAATCTGTGAGGTGAATGTACATATCAAAAGAAGTTTCTGAGGATGTTTCTGTCTAGTTTACATGTGAAGATATTTCCTTTCAGATGTAGGCCTCTAAGCGCTGCAAATATTCACTTGCGAATTCTACAAAAAGAGTGTTTCAAAACTGCTCAATCAAAAGAAAGGTTCAACTCTCTGAGATGAATGCAGATATCACAAATAAGTTTCTGAGAATACTTCTGTCTAGTTTCTATGTGAAGATATTTCCTTTTCAGCTACAGGCCTCAAAGCCCTGCAAATATCCATTTGCAGATACTACAAAAAGAGTGTTTCCAAACTGCTCAATCAAAAGGAAGGCTCAATTCTGAGTTGAATGCACACATCCCTAAGAAGTTTCTCAGAATGCTTCTGTGTAGTTTTCATCTGAAGTTATTTCCTTTTCTACCACAGGCCCCAAAGCTCTCCAAATAACCAATTGGAGATTCTCCAAAAAGTTTGTTTCAAAACTGCTTAATCAAAAGAAAATTTTAATTCTGTGAGATGATTGCACACATCACAAAGAAGTTTCTCAGAATGCTTCTGTCTACTTTTTATGTGAAGATATTTCCATTTTATCTATTGGCCTCAAAGTGCTCCAAATATCCAATTGCAGATACTACAAAGCGAGTATTTCCAAACTGCTCAATTAAAAGAAAATTTCAACTCTGTGAGTTGAATGCACACATCACAAAGAAGTTTCTGAGAATACTTCCGTCTAGTCTTTATGTGAAGATATTTCCTTTTAAGCTATAGACGTCAAAGGGCTCCAAATATCCATTTGCAGATACTAGAAAATGAGTCTTCCCAAACAGCTCAATCAAAAGAAAGGTTCAACTCCATGAGTTGAATGCACACATCACAAAGAAGTTTCCAGAATGCTTCTGCCTAATTTTTATGTGAAGAGGTTTCCTTTGTCACTATTGGCCTCAAAGCGCTCCAAATATCCACTTGCAGATTCTACAAAAAAAGATTTTCAAAACTGCTCAATCAAAAGAAAGTTTCAACTCTGGGAGATGAATGCACACATCACAAAGAAGTTTCTCAGAATCCTTCTGTCTAATTTTTATGTGGAGATATTTCCATTTCAGCTATAGGCATCAAAGTGCTCCAAATATCCATTTGTGGATACTGCAAGAAGAGTGTTTCCAAACTGCTCAATCTTAAGAAATCTTCAACTATGTGAGTTGAATGCACACATCACACAGAAGTTTCTGACAATGCTTCTGTCAAGTTTTTATGTGAAGATATTTCATTTTCTACCATTGGCCACAAAGTGCTCCAAATATCCTCTTGCAGATTCTTCAAAAAGATTGTTTCAAAACTGCTCAATCAAAAGAAAGTTTCAACTCTCTGAGATGAATGCACACATCACAAAGAAGTTTTGGAGAATAATTCTGTCTAGTTTTTATTTGAAGATATTTCCTTTTCTGCTACAGGCCTCAAAGAGCTGCAAATATCCATTTGCAGATACTACAGAAAGAGTGTTTCCAAACTGCTCAATCAAAAGAAAGGTTCAACTCTATGAGCTGAATGCACACATCACAAAGAAGTTTCTGAGAATGCTTCTGTCTAGTTATGTGAATATATTTCCGTTTCCACCATAGGCCTCACAGCGCTGCAAATGTCCACTTGCAGATTGTACAAAAAGAGAGTTTCAAAACTACCCAATCAAAATAAAGGTTTAACTCAGTGAGATGAATGCACGCATAACAAAGCAGTTTCTCAGATTGCTTCTGTCTAGATTTCATGTGAAGATATTTCCTTTTCTACCATAGGCTGCAAAGCGCTCCAAATGTCCACTTGCAGATTCTACAAAAAGTGTGTCTCCAAACTGCTCAATCAAAAGAGAGTTTCAACTCTGTGAGAAAAACTCACACATCACAAAGAAGTTTCTGAGAATGCTTCTGTCTAGTTTTTGTGTGAATATATTTCCGTTTCCACCGTAGGCCTCACAGCACTGCAAATGTCCACTTGCAGATTCTACAAAATCTATTTCAAAACTGGTCCATCAAAAGAAAGTTTCAAATCTGGGTGATGAATGCACACATCACAAAGAATTTTCTCAGAATGCTTCCATCTAATTTTTATGTGAAGATATTTCCTTTTCCACCATGGGCCTCAAAACGCCCAAAATGTCCACTTGCAGATTCTACAAAAAGAGAGTTTCAAAACTCCTCAGTCAAAAGAAAGTTTTAATTCCGTGAGATGAATGCACACATCACTAAGGAGTTTCTCGGATTGCTTCTGTCTAGATTTTATGTGAACATATTTCCAATTTAAACATAGACCAAGTAGAGCTCCAAATATCCACTTTCATATTATACAAAAAGAGTGTTTCCAAACTGCTAAATCAAAAGACATTTTCAACTCTATGGGATGAAGACACACATCAAAAAGAAGGTTCTCAGCATGCTTCTACCTAGTTTTTATGTGAAGATATTTCCCTTTGTACAATCTTCCACAAAGCGCTCCAAATGTCCACATGTAGATTCTACAAGAAGAGTGTTTCCAAACTGCACAATCCAAGGAAATATTCACCTCTGTGAGATGAACGCACACATCAAGAAGTAGTTTCTCAGAATTCTTCTGTCTAGTTTTTGTGTGAAGTTATTCCTTATCCACCATACTCCTCAAAGCACTCCAAATGTCCAATTGCAGATTCTACAAAATGTGAGCTTCAATATTGCTCAATCAAAAGAAAGGTTTAACTCAATGAGAGGAATGCACACACCACAAAGAAATTTCTCAGATTGCTTCTGTCTAGATTTTATGTGAAGATAGTTCCTTTTCTACCACAGGCCGCGAAGCTCTCCAAATGTCAACTTGCTGATTCTACAAAAAGAGTGTTTCCAAACTTCTCAATCAAAAGGAATGTTGAACTCTGTGAGAGGAAAGCACACATCACAAAGAAATTTCTCAGAATTCTTCTGTCTAGTTTTTATGAGAAGATATTTCCTTTTCCACCACAGGCCTCAAAGCCCTCCAAATATCCACTTGCAGATTCTACAAAAAGAGAGTTTCAAAACTGCTCAATTAATAGAAAGGTTTAACTCTGTGAGATGATTGCACACATCACAAAGAAGTTTCTCAGATTGCTTCTGTCTAGATTTTATGTGAAGGTATTTCGTTTTCTACCATAAGCCACAAAGCACTCCAAATGTCTACTTGCATTTTCTTCAAAAAGAGTGTTTCCAAACGGCTCTGTCCAAAGAAAAGTTCAACTCGGTGAGATGAACGTACACCTCACAAAGAAGTTTCTCAGAATTCTTCTGTCTAATGTTTATGTGAAGATATTTCCTTTTCCACCATAGGCCTCAAATCAGTCAAAATGTCCACTTGCAGATTATACAAAAAGAGAATTTCAAAACTGCTCAATCTAAAGAAAGGTTTATCTCTGTGAGATGAATGCACACATCACAAAGAAGTTTCTCAGATTGCTTCTGTCTAGATTTTATGTGAAGATATTTCCTTTGCCGCCATAGGCCACAAAGAGCTCCAAATGTTCACTTGCAGATTCTACAAAAACAGTGCTTCCAAACTGTTCAATCAAAAGAAAGTTTCAACTCTGTGAGATGAATGCACACATAACAAAGTAGTTTCTCGAATTATTCTGTCTAGTTTTTATGCGAAGACGTTTCCTTTTCCACCTTAGGCCTTAAAGCACTCCAAATGTCCACTTGCATATTCTACAAAAAGAGAGTTCAAAACTGCTCAATCAAGAGAAAGGTTTAACTCTGTGAGATGAATGTACACATCACAAAGAAGTTTCTCAGATTCCTTCTTACTAGATTTTAGTTGAAGATTTTGCCTTTTCTACCATAGGCTCCAGAGCGCTCCAAATGTCCACTAGCAGATTCTACAAAAAGAGTGTTTCCAAACTGCTCAATCAAAAGAGAGGTTCAACTCGGTGAGATGAACGCACACATCACAAAGAAGTTTCTCAGAATGCTTCCGTCTAGTATGTATGTGAAGATATTACCTTTTCTACCATTGGCAGCAAAGTGTGCCAAATGTCCCCTTGCAGATACTGCAAAAAGAGTGTTTCCAAACTATTCAAATAAAAGAGAGTTTCAACTATGTGAGATGAATGCACACATCAAAAAGAAGTTTCTCCGAATGCTTCTGTGTAGTTTTTATGTGAAGATATTTGCTTTTCCACAGTAGGCCTCAAAGCTCTCCAAATTTCCACTTGCAGATTCTCCAAAAAGAGAGATTAAAAACTGCTCATTCAAAGCATGGGTTCAACACTGTGAGTTGAATGCACACATAACAAAGAAGTTTCTCAGAATCCTTCTGTGTAGTTTTTATGTGAAGATATTTCCTTTTCCAAAAGAGGACTCAAAGCCCTCCAAACATCCACTTCCAGATTCTTCAAAAAGTGTTTCAAAACTGCTCAATCAAAAGAAAGGATCAACTCTGTGAGATGAGTGCCCATATCACAAACAACTTTCTCAGAATGCTTCTGTGTAGTTTTATGTGAAGATATTTCCTTTTCCACAAACGGCTTCAAAGCCCTCCAAATATACACTTGCAGATTCTATAAAAAGAGTGTTTCCAAACTGCTCAATCATAAGAGGTTCTATCCAGTGTGATGAATGCACACATCACAAAGAAGTTTCTCAGAATGCTTTTCTGTAGTTTTTATTTGAAGATATTTCCTTTTCCTCCATAGGCCACAAAGGGCTCCAAATATCCACTTGCAGATACTACAAAAAGAGAGATTCAAAACAGCCCAATCAAAAGATAGGTTCCACTATCTGAGTTGAATGCACACATCACAAAGAAGCTTCTCAGAATTCTTCTGTGTGGTTTTTGTGTGAAGATATTTCATTTTCCACAGTAGGCCTCAAAGCTCTACTAATATCCACTTGCAGATTCTGCCAAAAGGGAGATTCAAAACTGCTCAATCAAAAGATAGGTTCGACTCTGTGAGTTGAATGCACCTCTCACATCGAAGTTTCTCAGAATGCTTCTGTGTAGTTTTCATGTGAATATATTTGCTTTTCCACAGTAGGCCTCAAAGCGCTCCAAATATCCACTTGCAGATTTTACAGAAACAGTGTTTCAAAACTGTTCAATCAAAAGAAAAGATCAACTCTGTGAGATGATTGCACACATCACAAAGAAGTTTCTCAGAATGCTTCCATGTAGTTTTTATGTGAAGATATTTCCTTTTCCACAATAGGCCTCAAGGCACTCCAAACATCCACTTGCAGATTCTACAAAAAGAGTGTTACAAAACTGCTCAATCATAAGATACGTTCAACGCTGTGAGATGAATGCAAATATCACAAAGAAGTTTCTCAGAATGCTTCTGTTTAGTTTTTATTTGAAGATATTTCTTTTTCCACCATAGGCCGCATAGGGCTCAAAATATCCACTTGCAGATTCTTCAAAAAGAGAGATTCAAAACTGCTCAATCAAAAGATAGGTTGGACTCTGTGAGTTGAATGCACACATCACAGAGAAGTTCCTCAGAATGCTTCTGTGTAGTTTTTATGTGAAGATATTTGCTTTTCCACAGTAGGCCTCAAAGCGCTCCAAATGTCCACTTTCAGATTGTCCAAAAAGAGAGACTCCAAACTGCTCAACCAAAACATACCTTCAGTTCTGTGAGTTTAATGCACACATAACAAAGAAGTATCTCAGAATATTTCTGTGTAGTTTTTAGGTGATGATATTTCTTTTCCAAAATAGGCCTCAAAGTCCTCCAAATATCCACTTCTGGGTTCTATCAATAGAGTGCTACATATGTAACTAACATGCACATTGTGCACATGTACCCTAAAACTTAAAGTATAATAATAAAAAAATAAAAAAAGAATAAAAAAATAATAAAAAATGAAATAAAAAAGGAAAAAGAGTGCTTCAAGCCTGCTCAATCAAAAGAAAGGATCAACTATGTGAGGTGAATGCACACATCAAAAAGAAGTTTCTCTGAATTCTTCTGAGTAGTTTTTATGTGAAGATATTTCCTTTTCCACATTAGGACTCAAAGCACTCCAAATAACCACTTGCAGATTCTACAAAAAGAATGTTTCCAGTCTGCTCAATCATAAGAAATGTTCAACTCTGTGAGATGAATGTGCACATCATGAAGTAGTTTCTCAAAACGCTTCTGTGTATTATTTATGTGAAGATATTTTCTTTTCCACAGTAGGCCTCAAAGTGCTCCAAATATCCACCTGTAGATTCTTCAAAAACAGTGTTTCAAAAGTGCTCAATAAAAAAAAGGTTCAACTCTGTGAGATGAATGCACACATCACAAAGTAGTTTCTCAGCATGTTTCTGTATAGTTTTTATGTGAAGATATTACCTTTTCCACAATAGACCTCAAGGCACTCCAAATATCCACCTGCAGATTCTACAAAAAAAGTGTTTCAAAACTACTCAATCATAAGATAGGTTCAACGCTGTGAGTTGAATGCACATATCCCAAAGAAGTTTCTCAGAATGCTTCTGTCTAGTTTTTATGTGAAGACATTTCCTTTTCAGCTATAGGCCTCAAAGTGCTCCAAATATCCACTTGCAGAATCTACAGCAAGAGAGATTCAAACTGCTCAATCAAAGCATAGGTTCAATTCTGTGAGTTGAAGGCACACATCATGAAGAAATTTCTGAGAATGCTTCTGTGTAGGTTTTATTTGAAGATATTCCCTTTTCCACCACAGGGAGCAAAGAGCTCCAAATATCCACTTGCAGATTCTACAAAAAGAGAGATACTAAACTGCTCAATCAAAAGATAGGTTCAACCCTGAAAGTTGAATATACAAATCATAAAGAAGTTTCTCAGAATGCTTCTGTGTAGTTTTTATGTAAAGATAATTCCTTCTCCACAATAGGCCTCAAAGGACTCCAAATATCCACTTGAAGATTCAACAAAAAGTATTTCAAAACTGTTCAATCAAAAGAAATGTTCAATTCCGTGAGTTGAATACACACCACACAAAATTTTTTCAGAATTCTTCTGTGTAGTTTTTATGTGAAGATATTTCCTTTTCCACAATAGGTGTAAAAGCTCTCCTAACATCCACTTGCAGATTCTGCAAAAAGAGAGATTCCAAACTGCTCAATCAGAAGATAGGTTCAACTCTGTGAGTTGAATGCACACATCAAAAAGAAGTTTCTCAGAATGCTTCTGTGTAGTTTTTATGTGAACATATTTTGCACAGTAGGCCTCACAGCACTTTAAATATCCACTTGCAGATTCTACAAAAAGAGAGTTTCAAAACTGTACAATAAAAAGATAGGTTCAACTCTGTGAGTTGACTGCACACATAACAAAGAAGTTTCTCAGAATGCTTCTGAGTAGTTTTTAATTGAAGGTATTTTCTTTTCCACAATAGACCTCAAATGGCTCCAATTATCCACTTGCAGATTGTACAAAAAAAGTGTTTCAAAACTGTTCAATCAAAAGAAAGATTCAACTCTGTGAATTGAATGCACACATGACAAAGAAGTTTCTCAGAATGTTTCTGTGTAGTTTTTATGTGAAGATATTTCCTTTTCCACAAAAGGCCTCAAAAGGCTCCAAATATCCACTTGCAGATTGTACGAAAAGTGTTTCAAAACTGCTCATCAAAAGAAAGGTTCAACTCTGTGAGATGAATGCACACATCACAACGAAGTTTCTCAGAATGCTTCTGTGTAGTATTTATCTGAAGTTATTGGCTTTTCCACGGTAGGCCTCAAAGTGCTCCAAATATCCACATGTAGATTCTAGAAAAAGAGTGTTTCGAAACTGCTCAACCGTAAGATAGGTTCAACCCTGTGAGATGAATGCATACATCACAAAGAAGTTTCTCAGAATGTTTCTGTGTAGTTTTTATTTGAAAATATTTCCTTTTCGACCACAAGCCACAAAGGGCTCCAAATATCCACTTGCACATTCTGCAAAAAGAGAGATTGAAAACTGCTCAATCAAAAGATAGGTTCACCTCTGTGAGTTGAATGCACATATCTCAAAGAAGTTTCTCAGAATGCTTCCGTGTAGTTTTTATTTGAAGATATTTCCATTTCCACCATAGGGTGCAATGAGCTCCAAATAACCACTAGCAGATTCTACAAAAAGAGAGATTCAAAACTGCTCAATCAAAAGATAGGTTCAACTCTGTGAGGTGAATGCACACATCATGAAGAAGTTTCTGAGAATGCTTCTGTGTAGTTTTTATTTGAAGATATTTCCTTTTCCACTACAGGGCACAAACGGCTCCAAATACCTACTTGCAGATTCTACAAACAGAGAGATTCTAAACTGCTCAATCAAAAGATAGGTTCAACTCTGTGAGTTGAATGCACACATCACAAAGAAGTTTCTCAGCATGCTTCTGAGTAGTTTTTATGTGAAGATATTTCCTTTTCCACAATAGGCCTCAAAGGGCTCCAATTATCCACTTGCAGATTGTACAAAAAGAGTGTTTCAAAACTGTTCAATCAAAAGAAAGATTCAACTCTGTGAATTGAATGCACACATCAAAAAGAAGTTTCTCAGAATGCTTCTGTGTAGTTTTTATATGAAGATATTTCCTTTTCCACAATAGGCCTCAAGGCACGCCAAATATCCACCTGCAGATTCTACAAAAAGAGTGTCAAAACTGCTCAATCGTAAGATAGGTTTGACGCTGTGAGTTCAATGCACACATCATGGAGAAGTTTCTCAGAATGCATCTGTGTAGTTTTAATTGGAAGATATTTCCTTTCCACCATAGGCCACAAAGGGCTCCAAATATCCACTTGCAGATTCTACAAAAAGAGAGATTCAAAACTGCTCAATCACGAGAGGCTGGACACTGTGAGTTGAATGCACACATCACAAAGAAGTTTCTCAGAATGCTTCTGAGTACTTTTTATGTGAAGATATTTCCTTTTCCACAATAGGCATCAAAGTGCTCCAAATGTCCACTTGGAGATTCTCTAAAAAGAGAGATTCAAAACTGCTCAATCAAAGTATAGATTCAACTCTGTGAGTTGAATGCACACATCAAAAAGAAGTTCCTCAGAATGCTTCTTTGTAGTTTTTATGTGAAAATATTTGCTTTTCCACAGTAAGCCTCAAAGAGCTCTAAATGCCCACTTGCAGATTCTCCAAAAAGAGAGATTCAAAACTGCTGAATCAAAGCATAGGTTCAACTCTGTGAGTTGAATGCACACATCATGAAGAAGTTTCTGATAATTCTTCTGTGTAGTTTTTATTTGAAGATATTTCCTTTTCCACCATAGACCGCAAAGGGCTCCTAATATGCACTTGCAGATTCTGCAAAGAGACAGATTCAAAACTGCCTAATCAAAATATAGTTTCAACTCTGTGAGATGAACGCACACATCCCCAAGAAGTTTCACACAATGCTACTGTGTAGTTTTTATTTGAAGATATTTGCTTTTCCACAGTAGCCATCAAAGGGCTCCAAATATCCACCTGCAGATTCTGCAAAAAGAGAGATTCAAAACTGCTCAATCAAAAGATAGGTTCAACTCTGTAAGTTCTATGCATACATCACAAAGAAGTTTCTCTGAATGCTTCTGTGTAGTTTTTATTTGAAAATATTTGCTTTTCCACAGTAGGCCTCAAAGGGCTCCAAATAACCAGATGCAGATTCTACAAAAAGAGAGATTCAAAACTGCTCATTGAAAATATATGTTCAACTCTGTGAGTTGAATGCATACATCACAAAGGAGTTTCTCTCAATGCTTCTGTGTAGTTTTTATTTGAAGATAATTTCTTTTCCACCACAGGGTGCAAAGGGCTCCAAATATCCACTTGCAGAATCTACACAAAGAGAGATGGAATACTGCTAACTGACAAGATAAGTTCAACTCTATGAATTGAATGCACACCTCTCAAAGAAGTTTCTCAAAGTGCTTCTGTGTAGTTTTTATGTGAAGATATTTCCTTTTCCACAAGAGGCATAAAAGCTCTCCAAACATCCAATTGCAGATTCTGCAAAAAGAGAGATTCAAATCTGCTCTATCAAAAGATAGGTCCAACTCTGTGAGTTGAATCCACACATCACAAAGACGTTTCTGAGAACGCTGTGTAGTTTTTCTGTGAACACATTTGATTTTACCCAGTAGGCCTCACAGCGCTACAAATATCCACTTGCAGATTCTAGAAAAAGAGATTCTAAACTGCTCAATCAAAAGATAGGTTCAACTCTGTGAGGTGAATGCACACATCACAAAGAAGTTTCTCAGAATGCTTCTCAGTAGTTTTTATTTGAAGATATTTCCTTTTACACCAAAGGCGGCAAAGGGCTCCAAATATCCACTTGCAGATTCTGCAAAAAGAGTGTTTCAAAACTGCTCAATCATAAGATAGGTTCAACCCTGTGAGATGAAGGCACACATCACCAAGAAGCTTCTCAGAATGTTTCTATGTAGTTTTTATTTGAAGATATTTCCTTTTCCACCAATGGGCGCAAAGGGCTCCAAATATCAACTTGCAGATTCTAAAAATGATGAGTTTCAAAACTGCTCAATGAGAAGATAACTTCAGATCTGTGAGTTGAATGCACACCTCATGAAGACGTTTCTCAGAATGCTTCTCTGTAGTTTTCATGTGAAGATATTTACTTTTCCACTCTAGGCCTCAAAGCTCTCCCAACATCCATTTGCAGATTCTGCAAAAAGAGAGATTCCAAACTGCTTAAACGAAACATAGGTTCAACTCTATGAGTTAAATGCACACATCACAACGAAGTTTCACAGAATGATTCTTTGTAGGTTTTATGTGAACGTATTTGGTTTTCCACAGTAGGCCTCACATCACTCCAAATATCCACTTGCAGTTTCCACAAGAGAGATTCAAAACTGCTCAATCAAAAGATAGGTTCAACAGTGTGTGTTGAATGCAGACATCACGAAGAAGTTTCTGAGAATGCTTCTGTGTAGTTTTTATTTGAAGATATTTCCTTTTCCACTACAGGGTGCAAAGGGTTCCAAATATCCAATTGCAGATACTACAAAAACAGAGATTCAAAAGTGCTCTTTTAGAAGCTAAATTCAACTCGGTGAGTTGAATGCACAGCTCACAAAGAAGCTTCTCAGAATGCTTCTCTGTGGTTTTCATGTAGAGATATTTCCATTTCCACAATAGGCCTCATAGCTCTCCAAACATCCACTTGCAGATTCTGCAAAAAGAGAGATTAAAAACTGATCTCTCAAAAGACAGTTTCAACTCTGTGAGTTGAAAGCACACACAACCAAGAAGTTTCTGAGAATGCTTCTGGGTAGTTTTTATTTGAAGATATTTCTTTTTTCACCAGAGGGTGCAAAGGGGTAAAAATACCAAATGCAGATTCTACACAAAAAGAGATTCTAAACTGCTTAATCAAAAGATAGGTTCAAATCAGTGAGTTGAATGCACACATCACAAAGAAGTTTCTCAGAATGTTTCTGAGTAGTTTTTATGTGAAGATATTTCCCTTCCACAATAGGACTCAAAGGGCTCCAAATATACACTTGCACAATCTACAAAAAAAGAGTTTTTCACTGCTCAATCAAAAGATAGGTTTAACTCTGTGAGTTGAATGCACACATCACAAGAAGTTTCTCAGAATGCCTCTGTGTAGCTTTTATGTGAAGATATTTCCTTTTCCACAACAGGCCTCAAAAGGCTCCAAATATCCACTTGCAGATTCTTCAAAAAGAGTGTTTCAAAACTGCTCAATCAAAAGAAAGGTTCAACTCTGTGAGACGAATACGCGCATCACAAAGAAGTTTCCAAGAATGCTTCTGTGTAGTTTTTACCTGAATATATTTGCTTTTCCACGGTTGGCCTCAAAGCGCTCCAAATACCTTCTTGCAGATTCTACAGGAAGTAAGATTCAAAACTGCTCAATGAGAAGATAAGTTCATCTCTGTGAGTTGAACGCACACCTCCCAAAGAAGTTTCTCAGAATGCTTCTCAGATATTCCCTTTTCCACAATAGGCCTCAAAGCTCTCCGAACATCCACTTGCAGAATCTGTAAAAGGAGAGATTTAAAACTGCTCATTCAAAAGATAGGTTCCACTCTGTGAGTTGATTGGACAGATCACAATGAAGTTTCTCAGAATGCTTCTGTGTAGTTTTTATGTGAAGATATTTGCTGTCCCACAGCAGGCCTCAAAAGGCACCAAATAGCCACCTGCAGATTCTGCAAAAAAAGACATTCAAGACTGCTCAATCAAGAGTTAGGTTCAACTCCGTGAGGTGAATGCATACATCATAAAGGAGTTTCTCTGAATGCTTCTGTGTAGTTTTTATTTGAAGATATTTCCTTTTCCACCATAGGGTGTAAAGGGCAACAAATATCCACCTGCAGACACTACAAAAAGTGTATTTCAAATGGGCTCAATCAAAAGAAAGGTTCACGTCTGTGATATGAATGCACACATCAAAAAGAAGATTCTCAGAATGCTTCTGTGTAGTTTTCGTATGAAGCTATTTGATTATACACAGTAGGCGTCATAGCTCTCCACATATCCACTGTCAGATTGTACAAAAAGAGAGATTCAAAACTGCTCCATCAAAATATATGTTCAACTCTGTGAGTTGAATGCACATATCATGAAGAAATTTCTGAGAATGATTATGTGTACTTTTTACGTGAAGATATTTCCTTTTCAACCCTAGGATGCAAAGAGCTCCAAATATCCACTTGCAGATTCTACAAAAAGAGAGATTCTGAACTGCTCCATCAAAAGATATGTTTAACTCTGTGAGTTGAATACACACATCACAGAGAAGCTTCTCAGAATGATTCTGACTAGTTTTTTTTTTTCTTTTTTCTTTTTATACTTTAAGTTTTAGGGTACATTTGCACATTGTGCAGGTTAGATACATATGTATACATGTGCCATGCTGATGCGCTGCACCCACCAACTCGTCATCTAGCATTAGATATATCTCCCAATGCTATCCCTCACCCCTCCCCCCACCCCACAACAGTCCCCAGAGTGTGAAGTTCCCCTTCCTGTGTCCATGTGATTTCATTGTTCAATTCCCAACTATGAGAGAGAATATGCGGTGTTTGGTTTTTTGTTCTTGCAATAGTTTACTGAGAATGATGATTTCCAATTTCATCCATGTCCCTACAAAGGACATGAACTCATCATTTTTTATGGCTGCATAGTATTCCATGGTGTATATGTGCCACATTTTCTTAATCCAATCTATCATTGTTGGACATTTGGGTTGGTTCCAAGTCTTTGCTATTGTGAATAATGCTGCAATAAACATACGTGTGCATATGTCTTTATAGCAGCATGATTTATAGTCCTTTGGGTATATACCCAGTAATAGGATGGCTGGGTCAAATGGTACTTCCAGTTCTAGATCCCTGAGGAATCGCCACACTGACTTCCACAATGGTTGAACTAGTTTACAGTCCCACCAACAGTGTAAAAGTGTTCCTATTTCTCCACATCCTCTCCAGCACCTGTTGTTTCCTGACTTTTTAACGATTGCCATTCTATCTGGTGTGAGATGGTATCTGATTGTGGTTTTGATTTGCATTTCTCTGATGGCCAGTGGTGATGAGCATTTTTTCATGTGTTTTTGGCTGCATAAATGTCTTCTTTTGAAAAGTGTCTGTTCACGTCCTTTGCCCACTTTTTGATGGGGTTGTTTATTTTTTTCTTGTAAATTTGTTTGAGTTCATTGTAAATTCTGGATATTAGCCCTTTGTCAGATGAGTAGGTTGCGAAAATTTTCTCCCATTTTGTAGGTTGCATGTTCACTCTGATGATAGTGTCTTTGGCTGTGCACAAGCTCTTCAGTTTAATTAGATCCCATTTGTCAATTTTGTCTTTTGTTGCCATTGCTTTTGGTGTTTTAGACATGAAGTCCTTGCCTATGCCTGTGTCCTGAATGGTAATGTCAAGGTTTTCTTCTAGGGTTTTTATGGTTTTAGGTCTAGCGTTTAAGTCTTTAATCCATCTTGAATTGATTTTTGTATAAGGTGTAAGGAAGGGATCCAGTTTCAGCTTTCAAAAAAAGAGAATTTTAGACCAATAACCTTGATGAACATTGATGCAAAAATCCTCAATAAAATACTGGCAAAAAGAATGCAGCAGCACATCAAAAAGCTTATCCACCATGATCAAGTGGGCTTCATCCCTGGGATGCAAGGCTGGTTCAATATATGCAAATCAATAAATGTAATCCAGCATATAAACAGAACCAAAGAAAAAAACCACATGATTATCTCAATAGATGCAGAAAAGCCCTTTGACAAAATTCAACAACCCTTCATGTTAAAAACTCTTAATAAATTAGGTATTGATGGGATGTATTTCAAAATAATAAGAGTTATCTATGACAAACCCACCGCCAATATCGTACTGAATGGGCAAAAACGGGAAGCATTCCCTTTGAAACTGGCACAAGACAGGGATGCCCTCTCTCACCTCTCCTATTCAACATAGTGTTCTGGCCAGGGCAATTAGTCAGGAGAAGGAAATAAAGGGTATTCCATTAGGAAAAGAGGAAGTCAAATTGTCCCTGTTTGCAGACAACATGATTGTATATCTAGAAAACCCCATTGTCTCAGCCCAAAATCTCCTTAAGCCGATAAGCAACTTCAGCAAAGTCTCAGGATACAAAATCAATGTACAAAAATCACAAGCATTCTTATACACCAACAACAGACAAACAGAGAGCCAAATCATGAGTGAACTCCCATTCACAATTGCTTCAAAGAGAATAAAATACCTAGGAATCCAACTTACAAGGGATGTGAAGGACCTCTTCAAGGAGAACTACAAACCACTACTCAAGGAAATAAAAGAGGATACAAACAAATGGAAGAACATTCCATGCTCATGGGTAGGAAGAATCAATATCGTGAAAATGGCCATACTGCCCAAGGTAATTTGCAGATTCAGTGCCATCCCCATCAAGCTACCAATGCCTTTCTTCACAGAATTGGAAAAAACTACTTTAAAGTTCATATGGAACCAAAAAAGAGCCCGCATCACCAAGTCAATCCTAAGCCAAAAGAACAAAGCTGGAGGCATCACACTACCTGACTTCAAACTATACTACAAGGCTCCAGTAACCAAAACAGCATGGTACTGGTACCAAAACAGAGATATAGATCAATGGAACAGAACAGAGCCCTCAGAAATAATGCCGCATATCTACTAGTATCTGATCTTTGACAAACCTGAGAAAAACAAGCAATGGGGAAAGGATTCCCTCTTTAATAAATGGTGCTGGGAAAACTGGCTAGCCATATGTAGAAAGCTGTCTAGTTTTTATGTGAAGATAATCCCGTTTCCAAGGAAGGCTTCAAAGCACTCTAAATATGCGCCTCCAGATTCTACAAAAAGACTGTTTCAAAACTGCTCTATCAAAAAGATGGTTCAACTCTGTGAGTTGAATGCACACATCACAAATAATTTTCTGAGAATGGCTCTGTCTAGTTTTTATGTGAAGATATTTGCGTTTCCAACGAAGACTTCAAAGCGCTCCAAAGATGTAAATGCAGATTCTACAAAAAGAGTGTTTCAAAACTTCTCTGTCTGAAGGAAGGTTCAGTTCTGTGAGTTGAATGCACACATCACAAAGGACTTTCTGACAATGCTTCCATCTAGTTTTTAGGTGAAGATATTCCTATTTCAAATGAAGGCTTCCATTCGGTACAAATATCTACATGCACATTCTACAAAAAGAGTGTTTCCAAACTGCTCTATCAAAAGGAAGGTTCAACTGTGTGAGTTGAATGCACACATCACAAAGTGGTTTCTGAGAATGCTTCTTTCTAGTATTTATATGAAGCTATTCCCGTTTCCAACGAAGGATTCAAAGAGCTCCAAATATCCTCCTGCAGACTTAATAAAAAAGGGCTTCCAAACTGCTCTATCAAAAGTAAAGTTCAACTATGTGAGTTGAATGAACACAACACAAAGAAGTTTCTGAGAATGCTTCCATCTAGTTTTTATGTGAAGATATTTCCTTTTCCACCATAGCCTTCAAAGCGCTCCAAATGTCCACTTGCAGATTCGACAAAAAGAGTGTTTCCAGACTGCTCTATCAAAAGAAAGGTTCAACTATGGGAGTAGAATGCACACATCACAAAGTCGCTTCTGAGAATGCTTCTGTCTAGTTTTTATCTGAAGATATTTCCTTTTCTACCACAGGCCTCAATGCACTCAAAATACCCACTTTTAGATTCTACAAACAGAGTGTTTCAAAACTGTTCTATCAAAAGGAACGTTCAAATCTGTGAGTTGAATGCAAGCATCACAAAGAAGTTTCTGAGAATGCTTCTGTCTAGTTTTTATGTGAAGATATTCCCATTTCCAATGAAGGCTTCAAAGAGCTCAAAATATCCTATTGCAGATTGTACAAAAAGAGTGTTTCAAAACTGCTCTATCAAAAGGAAGGTTCAATTCTGTAAGTTGAATGCACACATCACAAATAAGTTTGTGAGAATGCTTCTGTCTAGTTTTTATGTGAAGATATTCCCGTTTCCAACAAAGGCTTCAAAGCGCTCCAAATATCCACCTGCTGATGCTACAAAAAGAGTGTTTCAAAACTGTTGTATAAAAAGAAAAGTTCAGCTCTGTGGGTTCAATGCACACAACAGAAAGAAGTTTCTGAGAATGCTTCCATCTAGTTTTTAAGTGAAGATATTCCAGTTTTCAATGAAAGCTTCAAAGTGCTCCAAATATCCACTTGCAGATTCTACAAAAAGAGTGTTTCAAAACTGCTCTATCGAAAGTAAAGTTCTACTTTGTGAGTTGAATGCACACATCAAAATGAATTTTATGAGAATACTTCTGTCTACTTTTTATGTGAAGATATTTCCTTTTTGACAATAGCTGTCAAAGCCCTCCAAATGCCCACTTGAAGATTCTTCACAAAGACTGTTTCCAATCTGCTCTATCAGAAGAAAGTTTCAACTGTGAGAGTAGAATGGACACATCACAAAGTAGTTTCTGTGAGTGCTTCTGTCTAGTTTTTGTATGAAGATTCAATTCTGTGAGTTGAATGCACACATCACAAAGAAGTTTCTGAGAATGCTTATGTCTAGTTTTAATGTGAAGATATTTCCTTTTCCACTGAAAGCCTAAAAGAGCTCCAAATGTCCAACTGCAGATTCTATAAAAAGAGTGTTTCAAAACTGCACTATCAAAAGAAAGGTTCAGTTCTGTAAGTTGAAAGCACACATTGCAAAGAAATTTCTGAGAATGTTTCTGTGTAATTTTTATGTGAAGATATTCCCGTTTCCAACGAAGGTTTCAAAGCGCTCCAAATATACACCTGCAGATTCTACAAAAAGAGTGTTTCAAAACTGCTCTATCAAAAGGAAACTTCAACTCTTTGAGTTGAATGCACTCATCACAAAGAAGTTTCTCAGAATGCTTCTGCCTAGTTTTAATATGAAGGTATATCCTTTTCCACGGAAGGCCCCAAAGAGCTCCAAATGTTCACCTGCAGATTCTACAAAAAGAGTGTTTCAAAACTGCTCTATCAAAAAGAAGGTTGAAATCTGTGAGTTGAATGCACACATCACAAAGAAGTTTCTGAGAATGTTTCTGTCTAGTTTTTATGTGAAGATATTCATGTTTCCAACGGAGGCTTCAAAGTGCTCCAAATGTCCACATGCAGATTCTACAAAAAGAGTGTTTCTAAACTGCTCTATTAAAAGAAAGGTTCAACTCTGGGAGTAGAATACAGTCATCACAAAGTGGTTTCTGAGAATGCTTCAGTGTAGATTTTATATGAAGATTTTTCTTGTTCTACCGTAGGTCTCAAAGCAGTCCAAATTTCCACTTGCAGATTCTACAAAAAGAGTGTTTCAAAACTCCTCCATCTAAGGGAAGGTTCAGCTCTGTGAGTTGAATGCACACATCACAAAGAAGTTTCTGAGAATGTTTCTGTCTAGTTTTTATATGAAGATATGCCCATTTCCAACGAAGGCTTCAATTCGCTCCAAATATCCATATGCACATTCTACAAAAGAGTGTTTCAAAACTGCTCTATCAAAAGGAACGTTAAACATTGTGAGTTGAATGCACACATCACAAAGTAGGTTCTCAGAATGCTTCTCTCTAGTTTTTATGTGAAGATATTCCCATTTTCAATGAAGGCTTCAATTCGCTCCAAATATCCACTTGCAGATTCTACAAAATAAGTATTTCAAAACTGCTCTATCAAAACGAAGGTTCAACGAAGTTGAAAGCACACATCACAAACTGGTTTCTGAGAATGCTTCTTTCTAGTTTTTATGTGAAGATATTCCCGTTTCCAATGAAGGATTCAAAGAGCCCCAAATATCCACCTGCAGATAATACAAAAAAAGTTTTTCAAAACTGCTCAATCAAAAGGAAGTTTCAGCTCTGTAAGTTCAATGCTCGCATCAAAAAGAAGTTTCTGAGAATGTTTCTGTCTAGTTTTTATGTGAAGATATTCCTGTTTCTAATGAAAGCTTCAAAGCGCTCCAAATGTCCACTTGCAGACTCTACAAAAAGACTGTTTCAAAACTTCTCTATAAAAGGAAGGTTCTACTTTGGGGGTTGAATGCACACATCAAAATGAAGTTTCTGAGAGCACTTCTGTCTAGTTTTTATGTGAAGATATTTCCTTATCCACAATAGTCCCCAAAGTCCTCAAAATGCCCACTTGAAGATTCCTCAAAAAGACTGTTTCAAAACTGCAGTATCAGAAGAAAATTTCAACTATGTGAGTAGAAAGCACACAGCACAACGAAGTTTCTGAGAATGTTTCCTTCTAGCTTTTATGTGAAGATATTTCCTTTTCCTCCATAGGCCTCAAAGCACACTATATATCCACTTACAGATTCTACAAAAAGAGTGTTTCAACACTGCTCTATCAAAAGAAGGGTTCAACTCTCTGAGTTGAACGTACACATCACAAAGAAGTTTCTGAGAATGCTTCTGCTAATTTTTATGTGAAGATATTCCCGTTTCAACCATAGGCCTCAAAGCCCTCCAAATGTCCACTTGCAGGTTCTACAAAAAGACTGTTTCAAAACTGCTCTATCAAAAGGAAGATTCAACTGTGTGAGCTGAATGTACACATCACAAAGAAGTTTCTGAGAATGCTTCTGTCTAGTTTTTATGTGAAGATATTCCCGTTTCCACCAAAGGCCTCAAAGCGCTCAATATATCGACTTGAAGATTTTACAAGAAGAGTTTTTCAAAACTGCTCCATCAAAAGGAAGCTTCAACTCTGTGTGTTGAATGCATAAATCACAAAGAAGTTACTGTGAATTCTTCTCTCTAGTTTTCAGGTGATGTTATTCCCGTTTCCAACGACGGCCTCAAAGCGGTCCAAATATCAACTTGCAGATGCTACAAAAAGAATGGTTCAAAACTACTCTATTAAAGAAAAGGTTCAGCACCGTGAGTTGAATGCTCACATCACAATGAAGTTTCTGAGAATGGTTCTGTCTAATTTTATGTGAAGATATTGCCGTTTCCAATGAAAGTCTCAAAGCGGCCCAAATATCCACTTACAGATGCTACAAAGAGTGTTTCAATACAGCTCTATGAAAATGTGTGTACAAATGTGTCAGTTGAATGCACACATCGCAAAGTAATTTCTGATAATGCTTCTGTCTAGTTTTTATGTGAAGATATTTCCTTTTCCACCACAGGCCTCAAAGCTCTCCAAATGTCCACTTGCAGATTCCACAAAAAGAGTGTTACAAAGCTGTTCTATCAAAAGAAAGCTTCAACTCTGTGAGTTGAATGAACACATCACAAAGTAGTTTCTGAGAATGCTTCTGTCACGATTTTATATGAAGATATTTACTTTTCCACCACAGGCCTCAAAGTGCTCCAAATGTCCACTAGCAGATTGTACAAAAAGAGTGCTTCAAAACTGTTCTATCAAAAGGTATGTTCAACTCTGTGAGTTGAATGCACACAACACAAAGAAGTTTCTGAGAATGCTTCTGTCTAGTTTTTATGTGAAGATATTCCCGTTTCCAACGAAGGCCTCAAAGTCCTCAAATTGCTCTGTATATCCAATTGTAGATTCTACGAAAAGAGTGTTTCAAAACTGATCTATCAAAAGAAAGTTTCAACTCTGTTGGTTGAATGTGCACATCATTAAGTACTTTCGAAGAATGCTTCTGTCTAGTTTTTATATGAAGATATTTTCTTTTCTTCCATAGACCTCAAAGCACACCATATATCAACTTGCAGATTCCACAAAAAGAGTGTTTCAACACTGCTCTATCAAACGAAAGTTTCAACTCTGTGAGTTGAGTGCACACATCACAAAAAAGTTTCTGAGAATGCTTCTGTCTAATTTTTAGGTGAAGTTATTCCCGTTTCAACCATAAGCCTCAAAGCCCTCCAAATGTCCACTTGCAGTTTCTACAAAAATAGTGTTTCAAATCTGCTTTATCAAAAGGAAGGTTCAACTATGTGAGTTGAATGCACACATCACAAAGAAGTTTCTGAGAATGCTTCTGTCTAGTTTTTATGTGACGATATTCCCGTTTCCACCAAAGGCCGCAAAGCACTCAATATATCCACTTGCAGATTCTACAAAAAGAGTGTTTCAAAACTGCTCTAACAAAAGGAAGCTTCAACTCTGTGTGTTGAATGCACAAATAACGACGAAGTTACTGAGCATTCTTCTCTCTAGTTTTCAGGTGATGATATTCCCGTTTCCAACGAAGGACTCAAAGTGGTCCAAATATCAACTTGCAGATGCTACAAAAAGAGTGTTTTAATACTACTCTATTAAAAGAAAGGTTGGACACTGTGAGTTGAATGCTCACATCACAAAGAACTTTCTGAGAATGGTTGTGTCTAATTTTATGGAAAGATATTGCCCTTTCCAATGAAAGCCTCAAACCTGCCCAAATATCCACTTGCAGATATTACAAAAAGAGTGTTTCAGAACTGCTCTATGAGAAGGTGTGTTCAAATGTGTGAGTTGAATGCACACATCACAAAGAAGTTTCTAAGAATGTTTCTGTTTAGCTTTTATGTGAAGATATTTCCTTGTCCACCATAGGCCTCAAAGCTCTCCAAATGTCCACTTGCAGATTCCACAAACAGAGTGTTACAAAGCTGTTCTATCAAAATAAAGCTTCAACTCTGTGAGTTGAATGAACACATCACAAAGTAGTTTCTGAGAATGCTTCTGTCTCGATTTTATATGACGATATTTACTTTTCCACCACAGGCCTCAAAATGTTCCAAATGTCCACTTGCAGATCCTAGAAAAAGAGTGCTTCAAAACTGTTCTATTAAAAGGTATGTTCAACTCTGTGAGTTGAATGCATACATCACAAAGAAGTTCCTGAGAAGGCTTCTGTCTAGTTTTTATGTCAAGATATTCCCGTTTCCAACGAAGGCCACAAAATGTCCCAAATATCAACTTGCAGATTATACAAAACGAGTGTTTCAAAACTGCTCTATCAAAAGAAAGGTTCAACTCTGTGAGTTGAATGCACACATGGCCAACTGCTTCTGTCTAGTTTTTATATGAAGATATTTCCTTTTCTACCAAAGGCCTCAAAGCTCTCTATATATCCACTTGCAGATACTACAAAAAGAGTGTTTCAAAACCGCTCTATGAAAAGGTGAGTTCAAATGTGTGAGTTGAATGCACACATCACAAAGAAGTTTCTGAGAATGCTTCTGTCTAGTTTTCATGTGAATATATTTCCCTTTCCACCATAGGCCTCAAAGTCCTCCAAATGGCCACTTGCAGATTCTACAAAAAGAGTGTTTCCAAGCTGCTCTATCAAAAGAAAGGTTCAATACTGTGAGTTGAATGCACACATCACAAAGTGGTTTCTGAGAATGCTTCTGTCTAGTTTTTTTGTGAAGATATTCCCATTTCCAACAAAAGCCTCAAAGCTATCCAAATATCAGCTTGCAGATTATACAAAACGAGTGTTTCAAAACTGCTCTATCAAAAGAAAGGTTCAGCTCTTGAGTTGAATGCACACATCACCAAATGCTTCTGTCTAGTTTTGATACGAAGATATTTCCTTTTCTACCTAAGGCCTCAAAGCACTCTACATACCCACTTGCAGATTGTACAAAAAGAGTGTTTCAAAACTTCTCTATCAAAAGAAAGGTTTAACTCTTTGAGTTGAGTGCGTGCATCACAAAGAAGTTTCTGAAATGTTTCTGTCAACTTTTTATGTTAAGATATTCCCATTGCCACCGAATGCCTCAAAGTGCTCCGTATATCCACTTGCAGATTCTACGAAAAGAATGTTTCAAAACTGCTCTATCAAAAGAAAGTTTCAACGTTGTGAGTTGAATGTACACATCGTTAATTAGTGTCTGATAGTGCTTCTGTCTAGTTTTTATATGAAGATATTTCCTTTTCTTCCATAGACCACATAGTGCTTCATATATCCACATGCAGATTCTACAAAAAGAGTGTTTCAACACTGCTCTATCAAAGGAAGGTTCAAATCTGTGAGTTGAATGAAGACATCACATAGTAGTTTCTGAGAATGCTTCTGTCTAGTTTTTATATGAAGATATTTCATTTTCTACCATAGGCCTCAAATCGCTCCATATATCCACTTGCAGGTTCTAAAAAAGAGTGTTCCACAACTGCTCTATCAAAAGGAAGGTTCAACTATGTGAGTTGAATGGACACATCACAAAGAAGTTTCTGAGAATGCTTCTGTCTAGTTTTTAGGTGAAGATATTCCCGTTTCAAAAGTAAGCCTCAAAGCCCTCCAATATCCACTTGCAGAATCTACAAAAAGAGTGTTTCAAAACGGTTCTATCTAAAGGAAGGTTCAACTCTGTGAGCTGAATGCACACATCACAAAGAAGTTTCTGAGAATGCTTCTGTCTAGTTTTTAGGTGAAGATATTCCTGTTTCAACCATAGGCCTCAAAGCCCTCCAAATATTCACTTGCAGATTCTACAAAAATAGTGTTTCAAAACTGCTCTATCAAAACAAAAGTTCAACTCTGTGAGCTGAAGGCACACATCACAAAGAAGTTTCTGAGAATGCTTCTGTCTAGTTTTTAAGTGAAGATATTCCCCTTGCCATCGTAGGCCTCAATACCCTCCAAACATCCACTAGCAGATTCTACAAAAAGAGTGTTTCAGATCTGCTCTATCAAAAGAACGGTTCAACTCTGTGAGTTAAGTGCACACATCACAAAGAAGTTTCTGAGAATGCTTCTGTCTAGTTTTTATGTGAAGATAATCCTGTTTCCACTGAAGGCCTCAAAGGGCTCCATATATCCACTTGCAGATCCTTCAAAAAGAATGTTTGCAAACTGCTCTATCAAAAGAAAGGTTGAACTCTGTGAGTTGAATGCACACATCAAAAAGTAGTTTCTGAGAATGATTCTGTCTAGTTTTTATATGAAGATATTTCTTTTCCACCACAGGCCTCAAAGTGCTCCAAATGTCCACTTGCAGATTATACAAAAAGAGTGTTTCAAAACTGCTCTATCAAAAGAAAGGTTCAACTCTGTGAGTTGAAAGCACACATCACAAATAGTTTCTTAGAATGCTTCTGTCTACTTATTATATGAAGATATTTCCTTTTCTTCCATAGGCCTCAAAGTGCTCCATGTATCCACTTGCAGATTCTACAAAACTAGTGTTTAAAAACTGCTCTATCAAAAGAAAGGTTCAGCTCTGAGAGTTGAATGCCCACATCAGTAAGTAGTTTCTAAGAATGCTTCTGTCTAGTTTTTATATGAAGATATTTCCTTTTCTTCCATAAGCCTCAAAGCGATCCATATATCCACTTGCAGATTCTAAAAAAAGATTGTTTCATAACTGCTCTATCAAAAGGAAGTTTCAACTCTGTGAGCTGAATGCACACATCTCAAAGAAGTTTCTGAGAATGGTTTTGTCTAGTTTTTATGTGAAGATATTCCCCTTTCCGCCGAAGTCTTCAAAGCACTCAATATATCCACTTGAAGATTTTACAAAAAGACCGTTTCCAAACTGTTCTATCAAAAGGAAGCTTCAACTCTGTGTGTTCAATGAAAAAATCACAAAGAAGTTACTGCGAATGCTTCTCTCTAGTTTTCAGGTGGTGATATTCCCATTTCCAAAGAAGGCCTAAAAGCGGTCCAAATATCAACTTGAAGATGCTATTAAAAGGGTGTTTCAAAGATACTCTATGAAACGAAATGTTCAACACTGAGTGTTTAATGTTCCCATCACAAAGAAGTTTCTGAGACTGGTTCTGTCTAATTTTATGTGAAGATATTGCCATTTCCAATGAAAGCCTCAAACCGGCCCAAATATCCAGTTGCAGATATTACAAAAAGAGTGTTTCAAAACAGCTCTATGAAAAGGCGTGTTCAAATGTGTGAGTTGAATGCACACATCACAAAGAAGTTTCTGAGAATGTTTCTGTCTGGTTTTTATGTGAAGATATTTCCTTTTCCACCATAGGCCTCAAAGCTCTCCAAATGGCCACTTGCAGATTCTACAAAAAGAGCTTTTCAAAACTGCTCTATCGAATAGAAGGTTCAACTCTGTGTGTTGAATGCACACAACACAAAGAAGTTTTTGAGAATGCTTCTGTGTAGTTTTTAGGTGAAGATATTCCCGTTTCCACAGGAGGCCTCAAAACCCTCCAAATATCCTCTTGCATATTCTACAAAAAGAGTGTTTCAAAACTGCTCTATCAAAAGAAAGGTTCAACTCTGTTTGTTGAGTGTGCACATCAAAAAGAAATTGCTAAGAATGTTTTCTGTCTAGTATTTATGTGAAGATATTCCCGTTTCCACTGAAGGCCTCAAAGCGCTCCATATATCCACTTGCAGATTCTATAAAAAGAGTGTTTCAGAACTGCTCTATCAAAGAAAGGTTCAACTCTGTGAGTTGAATGCACACATCACTAAGTAGTTCCTGAGAATGCTTCTGTCTATTTTTTGTATGAAGGTATTTCCTTGTCTACCATAGGCCTCAAAGTGCTCCATATATCCACCTGCAGATTCTAAAAAAAGAATGTTTCAAAACTGCTGTATCAAAAGAAATGTTCAACTCTGTGAGCTGAATGCACACAACAAAAAGAAGTTTCTGAGAAACCTTCTGTGTAGTTTTTATGTGAACGTATTTCCTTTTCCAACATAGGTTTCAAAGGGAACAAAATATCCACTTGCAGATTCTACAAAGGAGTGTTTGAAAAGAGCTGTATCAAAAGAAATGTTCAACTCTCTGAGTTGAATGCACACATCACAAAGAAGTTTCTGAGAATGCTTCTGTCTAGTCTTTATGTGAAGATATTTCGTTTTCCAACATAGACCTCACAGGGAACAAAATATCCACCTGCAGATTCTCCAAAAAGAGTGTTTCAAACTGCTCTATCAAAAGAAAGGTTCAACTCTGTGAGTTGAATGCACACATTACAATCAAGTTTCTGAGAATGCTTCTGTCTAGTTATTATGTGAAGATAATTCCTTTTCCATCATAGGCCTCAAAGGGCTCAAAATGCCCATTTGCAGATTATACAAAAAGAGTGTTTCAAAACAGCTGCATCAAAGGAAAGATCCATTTTTGTGAGTTGAATGTGCACATCACAAAAGAGTTTCTGAGAATGCTTCTCTCTAGTTTTTATGTGAAGATATTTCCTTTTCCACCATAGGCCTCAAAGCGCTCCAAATATCAACTTGCAGATTGGACAAAGAGAGTGTTTCAAAACTGCTCTATCAAAAGAAAGGTTCAACTCTGTGAGTTGAATGCACACATCACAAAAAAGTTTCTGAGAATGCTTGTGTCTTTTTTTATGTGAAGATATTTCTTTTTCCAACATAGACCTCAAAGGGAACAAACTATCCCCTTGCAGATTCTACCAAAATGGTGTTTCACAACTGCTGTGTCAAAAGAAATGTTCAAATCTGTGAGTTGAATGTACCAATTACAAGGAAGTTTCTGAGAATGTTTCTGTCTTGTTTTTATATGAAGTTATTTCCTATAGGACTCAAAGTGCTCCAAATATCCACTTCCATGTTCTACAAAATGAGTGTTTCAAAACTGCTCTATCAAGAGAAAGTTTCAACTCCTTGAGATGAATGCACACATCACAAAGAAGTTTCTGAGAATGCTTCTGTCTATTTTTGATGTGAAGATATTTTCTTTTCCAACATAGGCCTCAAAGGGAACCAAATATCCACTTGCAGATTCTACAAAACGAGTGTTTGACAACTCCTCTATCCTACCCATGTGCATGGAATGTTCTTCAATTTGTTTGTATCCTCTTTTATTTCCTTGAGCAGTGGTTTGTAGTTCTCCTTGAAGAGGTCCTTCACCTCCCTTGTATTTTATTCTCTTTGAAGCAACTATGAATGGGAGTTCACTCATGATTTGGCTCTCTGTTTGTCTGTTTTTGGTGTGTAAGAATGCTTGTGATTTTTTTTACATTGATTTTGTGTCCTGTGACTTTGCTGAAGTTGCTTTTCAGCTTAAGGAGATTTTGGGCTGAGACAATGGGGTTTTCTAGATATACAATCATGTCGTCTGCAAACAGGGACAATTTGACGTCCTCTTTTCCTAATTGGATACCCTTTATTTCCTTCTCCTGCCTAATTGCCCTGGCCAGAACTTTCAACACTGTGTTGAATGGGAGTGGGTAGAAAGAATCAATATCGTGAAAATGGCCATAAGGCCCAGGGTAATTTACAGATTCAATGCCATCCCCATCAAGCTACCAAAGACTTTCTTCACAGAATTGAAAAAAACTACTTTAAAGTTCATATAGAACCAAAAAAGAGCCCACATCACCAAGTCAATCCTAAGCCAAAAGAACAAAGCTGGAGGCATCACACTACCTGACTTCAAACTATACTACAAGGCTACAGTAACCAAAACAGCATGGTACTGGTACCAAAACAGAGATAGAGATCAATGGAACAGAACAGAGCCCTCAGAAATAATGCCACATGTCTACAACTATCTGATCTTTGACAAACATGAGAAAAAGAAGCAATGGGAAAGGATTCCCTATTTAATAAATGGTGCTGGAAAAACTGGCTAGCCATATGTAGAAAGCTGAAAGTGGATCCCTTCCTTACACCTTATACAAAAATCAATTCAAGATGGATTAAAGACTTAAACATTAGACTTAAAACCATAAAAACCCTAGAAGAAAACATAGTCATTACCATTCAGGACATAGGGATGGCCAAGGACTTCATGTCTAAAACTCCAAAAGCAATGACAACCAAAGCCAAAATTGACAAATGGGATCTAATTAAACTAAAGAACTTCTGCAGAGTAAAAGAAACTACCATCAGAGTGAACAGGCAACCTACAACATGGGAGAAAATTTTCGCAACCTATTCATCTGACAAAGGACTAATATCCAGAATCTACAATGAACTCAAACAAATTTACAAGAAAAAAACAAACAACCCCATCAAAACGTGGGTGAAGGACATGAACAGACACTTCTCAAAAGAAGACATATATGCAGCCAAAACACACATGAAAAAATGCTCATCATCACTGGCCATCAGAGAAATGCAAATCAAAACCACAATCAGATACCATCTCACACCAGTTAGAATGGCAATCATTAAAAATCAGGAAAAAACAGGTGCTGGAGAGGATGTGAAGAAATAGGAACACTTTTACACTGTTGGTGGGACTGTAAACTAGTTCAACCATTGTGGAAGTCAGTGTGGCGATTCCTCAGGGATCTAGAACTAGAAATACCATTTGACCCAGCCATCCCATTACTGGGTATATACCCAAAGGACTATAAATCATGCTGCTATAAAGACACATGCACACGTATGTTTTCTGTGGCATTATTCACAACAGCAAAGACTTGGAACCAACCCAAATATCCGACAATGATAGACTGGATATAGAAAATGTGGCACATATACACCATGGAATACTATGCAGCCATAAAAAATGACGAGTTCACGTCCTTTGTAGGGACATGGATGAAATTGGGAATCATCATTCTCAGTAAACTATCACAAGAACAAAAAACCAAACACAGCATATTCTCACTCATAGGTGGGAATTGAACAATGAGAACACATGGACACAGGAAGGGGAACATCACACTCTGGGGACAGTTGTGGGGTGGAGGAAGGGGGGAGGGATAGCATTGGGGGATATACCTAATGATAGATGACGAGTAAGTGGGTGCAGAGCACCAGCATGGCACTTGTATACATATGTAACTAACCTGCACGTTGTGCACATGCACCCTAAAACTTAAAGTTTAATACTAATTAAAAAGGAAAAAAAGAAAAGAGAAACTGCTCTATCAAAAGAAATGTTCAACTCTGTCAGTTGAATGCAAAAATCACAAAGAAGTTTTGGAGAATGTTTCTGTCTATCTTTTATGTGTAGATATATCCGTTTCCACCATAGGCCTCAAAGCGCTACACATATCCACTTGCAGATTTTACAAAAAGAGTGTTTCAAAACTGCTCTATCAAAAGAAAGGTTAAACACTGTGAGTTGAAAGCAGACATCACAAAGAAGTTTCTGAGTATGTTTCTGTCTAGTTTTTATGCGAAGATATTGCCTTTTCCAGCATAGGCTTCAAACCTTCCAAATATCAACTTGCAGATTCTACAAAAAGAGTGTTTCAAAACTGCTCTATCAAAAGAAAAGTTCAACTCTGAGAGTTGAATGCACACATCACAAAGAAGTTTCTGAGAATACTTCGATCTTGTTTCTATGTGAATATATTTCGTTTTCCAACATAGGCCTCAAAGTGAACAAAATATCCATTTGCAGATTCTTCAAAAAGAGTGTTTCAAAACTGCTCTATCTAGGAAGGCGATGCTAATGGGTATTGCATAGGTGTAAGTAGAAAAATGTTGTATTTAAGAGAATCCCACAAGCTTGGTATACGGCAGAAAATAAATAGATGTGACATGAATAAGTAGTTTATTACATTTGTATGCTACCTGCGGACTAGAGGAAGCAAGAAACACAGCCACTATGCTTGATTAGCATTATAGAGATGGTACAATGATGGGTGTCAGAAGCTGGGGGGAGGAAGAAATGGGGAAGTATTGTTTAATGGGTATAGAGTTTCAGTTTTACAAGATGAAACGAATTGTAGAGATGGATGGTAGGGACGGCTGCACAATGTTATGACTATATTTAGTACCACTGAACTGTACACTTAAAATGGTTAACAGAGTACATTTTATGTTATGTGTATTTTACCACAATAAAAAAATAAAATACCTTAGGAATATTTTCATGAAAAAGCCCACATAAAATTCATTTTAATGCACCTGTTTATGCATAGCTTTCTATTTTTCTCTTTTCTCTTTATATTCCAAATTCTAATCAGAGAAGGGAATCCCCTCTGTACCTCCAGGATATTCAGTAAAGACCACTGGAGGTTCATGCCCTAGTGACAGTGCTCATTTAGCTCCAAATTACAGATGGCTCTAGACTAACTCAACAAAGTTTAAAGAGAAGATTTAAAACAACAACAGACAAATACTCATCCTGAAGTTACTGAATTCCCTGCCAAAACATTGTTCAAAGGTAGCCAATAAAATGTAGATATTCAATAGCGTAACATCAACATACCCAAAAAAACCTCTGACATGCAAAGAAGCCGTAAGATATATATAATTAAGATATATATTAACAGGATAAAAATAAGTCATTTATAAATGACAGAAAAGAGGAAAATTTCAAGGTCCTTAAATTAAATATATTTTATAAATACATATAGATAAATACATATATATGTCAAGGTACTTAAATGAAAATTGAACATAGGAGAAAAAGAGAAGTTATAAAATGAAAAATGTGACATGTATAGATGAAAAATAAATATTTGAAATAAAAATTCCATGAGATAGAACAAGTAATGGGTTTTATCCTAACATCAGAAAATTTATAGAAAAAAATTGAAGCTTTACAAACTAAAGGACAAAGGGTAAACTAAAATAAGAAGGCCAGAAACTCACTGATACATCAGACAATATGCAGCAGTGTAACATACATGTAATCAATATCTCAAAAAGGATGGGTGGTGGAATTATAGTTGAATAAAGTATGGTACACTCATTCCTGAGGGCACCGAGGAGGGAGGATAGCTTTAGATTTCTTAGGGAGGGTATTATCCATTCATGAAGTTCCAACCCCATGTACAAACACCACCAAGTAAGCCCCACCTGCAACATTGGGGATCAAATTTTAACATGAGATTGGAAGGGGCAAGCATTCAAACCGTAGCAAGAGTTAAATTTCCTTTTTAAAAAAAATCACTGATATGATTCCATTTCGCCATAGATAAAAGCTAGTATTTCAGCCTACCATTGAGTGTGCTTATAGTTCACCAAAAGGGCACTCTGTCTCGGGAATACAGATTTGCCTAGAGGTATCCTATTGCAGTCAAAGAAAGGGCAATGAGGGATAGAAAAGGTTAGTGATGGAGACACCAGCGCTGCATTTTGCAACAAACAATGTAAAAACTTTACGGATTGGTTCCGCTAACTTACTACAGTTTACATTCCTCTCAGGTGGGAGAATTGTTGCGTTATTTCTCAAGAGAGAAAAGCAATTCAGATATTCTGAAATCTCCACAGGAAGGATAAGAAGCACAGCGGAAACTATTCTAGGCAGGAAGTCAATCCTTTCAACTGTCTGTGCTCCATAGAAACAATTGTCTGCACTGGGAGTCATATGAGGTACAGACAACAGCTAGACCTCTGATCCTCTCATTAGTGATTTCAGGAGAAATTACCAGTCAACTGAGTAATTCACTGAGTAAAGTAAACATTTGGCACTGAAAGAGGTTAGACAGATAACTATTTGTATCAGCATATTCATGAAGCTGGAATATTTTCCATTACTGGTATCACATCTGAATGGAAGATGTTAAAAGGTCTCTCATCTTGTAAGATGGATATGACAGAACTTTCTCTGAGAAATGAAATTACTAACACACCTGCGAGGTGGATGGAAGAGAAAAAAAAGAATAATCAGCTTGAGTTCTTCTCCTTGATAAGACAACTCACTAAAAACTTAAAGAGAAAAATACAAGTTTAAAATAATTAACAAGAAGAAGACGACTCTAGCGTTTTTAAATTGCTGATAAGATTTTAATTTGCTCCAAGTTGAAAATAACTATATTGCTTGTGTTTTAAGGCACATAATGAGCAATTATATCACACATGATAGTTTCAGCAGTAAAATATTATCCGTTAACAGCTGGAACTCATAAAAGCATAGCACAATGTGAAGATGGAATTTGCTAAAATAAACCACCTGCTGAAAACTACTATTCTGCAAATTTAAAAACAAAGTTTGAATGTTATTTGTCTTATTTAAAAGGTTTGTGAAAAAAATGAGCTATATGAAAAGTAGCTGCTACCTTAATTAATTCTTTATATTAGACGGCTGGTCACAGTAATGCACAGTAAGGTGCTACATAGATATATTGCAAAATTTTCTGCATATACTATGTATTTGGCTTAAATTATTTGAAATTATGTAGTTAAAATAACAAATGCATATTTAAATGTTTTGACACAAATTGCAAATATACCTTTAAAAAGCGTCTTACACTCTAAATATTATATGTCACCTATATATTTGTCTTTTCTTTATAGGAAAGTTTAAATTTTTCCCTTGAAGCTTTAATTACTTGACTCTATAAAACAAACTGATAATGTACAAATTAACAGGAAAAAAAGGTTTACAGATATGTGCACAAGTATGCACTTGGAGTTTACATAATGTATATAAATATATCTATACAAATATTTCTATATTATAAATAGATATACAAATATATACTATATATATAAAAACTCCAGGAAAGGCAAGGTAGTCAGCACGCCTATGCTGTCTTGAGGTTACAGAAAACACAGAGCTGTAGGTTGGTAAATCAGGCTTTGCAGAAGACAGGTGATGACAAGGAAGAAAGAGGAGCCTGGTAGCAGAGGTGGTCTTGTTACATGGATGAAACCTCACAGGGAGCAGCCCTCCTCTTGGGAAGTATAGATAGGAAATGGTGTTTAGAAATGTAAATGTGCCAGGCTCAGTTAATCTTTCCTAAACCCAAACAAGGGAGTATCTCAGGGAAAGCCTGTCTATGTGAATGCAGATTTTCTCTACAAATGCAAATCTCCCCAACAAACACAGCTTTTCAGCTATTCTTGTAGAAAAAGCTATCTCCACTCTTCCGAGTAACCATCTTGAAATATGTCAAAAAGCTGGCCAGGCGCACACCTGTAATCCCAACACTTTGGGAGGCTGAAGTGGGTAGATCACCTGAAGTCAGGAGTTGGAGACCAGCCTGACCAACATGGTGAAACCCTGTCTCTACCAAATACAAAAAATTAGCCAAGTGTGGTGGTGCATGCCTGTAATCTCAGCTACTTGGGAGGCTGAGCTAGGAGAATTACTTGACCCTGGGAGGCTGAGGTTGCAGTGAGCCAAGATTGTGCCATTGCACTCTAGCCTGGGCAATAAGAGCAAAACTCCATCTCAAAAAAAAATGTATTTTAGGGTAATATTTTGAGTATCTTTACCTCCCTATGTACAGTAAATATTATTGTGATTTTTAATCTTTTCTGTCGAGAAAACACAGGTGTGATTTCTAGTGTAGCTGAACATCGTTTATTTGACAATATTGCACTTGTGTGTGAGTGTGTGCGTGTGTAGCTACTCTTTCATTTTGTTCTCACATAATGATTAGATATTAACAATTAATTCAGAAAAATGTATGTTTTGCAATATTTCTCCATGTTATCATGCTTTAAATTAGTTTAATCGTGTCCCTATAATGTGTACATTTTAAGCTTTGACTATAGGTCTCAATCTTACTTTGGTTCCTGTATTTGAATTTATGCTAATAAAGTCCTTCAGCTAAAAAGATTATATAAACTTATCTACATTTTACTAGTATTCTGGTGACATTTTAAATTATGTAACAAAATCAAATTTTAATTTGGACTATTGTTATCTGAGATAAGGATCTAAATTTATAATTTTCTTATAAATATTACATAATTATTTCTGAACCATATATTGACTATTCTGCCCTTTATATGATGTGCATTATAAGAGCTTGGGATTGTTTCATTTCCAAAGATGAATGCTTGAGAAGTAGACATTTAATCATAACATTTCAAAATCTACTGGATAACCAAGAATTGAAAAATAGCCTATAGGTTGAAAAACTCCTGTAATGAAGAAAGGAAATAACTAATATACAGTGAAAATATAAATATTATAAGTATTTATTTTATTATCGCCCTGAAATTTGATAATACAAACATGTAATATCTACATATCATCTATATATCAGGTCACAAAAAATCAATACGTTCTTCAAAAATTTAGCATAACAGAAAATGCACTCTCCCTCCTTGATGGAATTAAGTTACAAATAAAAGTAAAAATAAGTAGATAAGTAGATGGAAGTAGATGTTTAAAAACAAGGAAAAGTATTTGTTTTGGATAACATAAAATCTCAATTGACAACTCCAATATTTCCAGAATTTTGCTTGTCAACTGGTGGAGAGTTTTCCCCAGGAGACATTTGTCAATGTCTAGGGTTATTGTGGGGATGTCAAGACTGGTGGAGGTGTGAAATTTAGAGGTCAAACGAAACACCTAGCACTGCTAGGGCAGCCTCCCACAACAAAGAATCCTCTGGTCCTAAAGGTAAGTAGCACCAAGGTTCAGAAACCATAATCTAGACAGGAAACACTACGTAGCTATTCCAAGTGCTCAGGAAAACACATCAGTGCCCTCGAGGGGAAAAGTGTAAACATTTTAATTGCTGTACATGGTGACACAAATCCATGTTGTTAATCTAAGTGGAAGGGGCTGAAGCACAAAACGAAATTCAAAGAGTTTACTTGAGCCACAATGAGGACAGCTGCCTGGAAGAAACAGACCCAAGTATCCTTGGATATAAACTCCCTTTGGAGCTTTGCAACAAGCAGTTTCTTGAAGGCAAAAAAGGTTCCAGAAGTGGGATGATGCAAAGAGGTTTGTCACAAATTCTCATTGGCTTATGGAAATAACATTTATTAGTGACTGGCTATACACTGTTACACTATTATTGGGTGTGGGTTATAGTGTCTGGTGTGGCGTTATTGGTTAATTTATAGATACTGTGGCAACAGCAAGCAGCCTAGATGAACACACAGCTCAAAGACGAGCAGGACAGAACTGCTGTCTCATTTGAATATCTCTCTGGACCTGATTATTTAAAAGGACTTGCATTTCTCTCATGAAAGTTATTTTCTTTTCTCAATGTCCATAAATGAGAATAAATAGACGTAAAATAGATCTTTTCGAGGATGAAGTAAATGGAATGAAAAACAAAACCCAAGCTGACCAGAAATCATAGAGGGAAGAAAAGGTTATAAATATATGGATTTTTCAAAGTGATTTTAAGCTATTAGGAATCAGTTACATGTTGGGGGATTTTGTCTGAGAATGGGCTAAAGGAGAAGGTCCCTTTTGCCTTCTGAAGCTTCCCTGAAAATCACTAATAGGAGGCAGAAAAATAGTAGAAAAGTCATACAGGTTTCTGCAATGTGTGTACAGTGGAGCCCTTAGAACGATGACCCAGACACACGATGCGTGCAGAAGCTTATCTACCACATGAAGTTTACAAAAAGAATGGGGTCTTAGATCACAGGGAAAAAAAAGAAACGTTATGTGAGGAAACGAACCTGGCTAGCAAGAATGGACTTATTACATAGGTGGAACCTCACTCGGAGCAGTCCTCAGAGAGAATAGACAGAAAATGTTTCTTTCAGACCTTTGGAGACCTCAGACTCTCAGTTAAACTTTCTTAGATCTAGAGAAGAGGGCAGACCTCAGATAAAGCCTGGCTGCATCAAGGCAGATTCTATACGGATAAAAATCTCCCCAAGACAGCTTTAAAGCTAACTTTGCATTTCCAGCCCTTCTCAATAGCCATTTTGAAATATATCAAGGAAATATATTTAGGGGTAAAATATATTAGTTTCCCTCTTACAGCTATAAAACATACAGGAATAATTTTTGTCAATGTCTACTACAAATCCAATATAGCAGTAATTATAAAACCCTCCAGATATTGAAGAAAAAATATGTAGAGTACCTGAATTACAAATGTTGATACTAAAATGCTAAATAAAATATAAATAATATCCAACAATATTTCAAACAGTAAGACAAGAAATTGCCAAAAAAAATAAAACAAATATCCACCTTGGGGATGAAAGTGTGTTTCAAAATTTGGTAATCCAATAATATTAATATTCATACTGATTAGTCCAAATTAAAAATAAATAGGGGATTCTCAGTACATGCTAAAGTATATTTGTCAAAAGGCTATATTTATGTCTTTAAAGATTTTAAATGCTATAAAGAGTCTGATATTCTATATGGAAACGTGTATGTCCATTAGAAGAAGAGAGGCCTGATTTTCATGTCACTACAAAGAGATAGAGAAGTGGATAGATTAATTTGCATATGCATAGAGAAAGCATAACATAGAAATTTACTATCACATTAAAGGAATTTTAATTCAACAGTGAAATAATTCAAAGGTAAAATTTTAAATATTTTTAACTGGTACATTATTATTAGATAATATTTATAATAATTGTGAAAATATTCAATGCTAAAATAAGATACAATGTCTAAACATCTGTATTAAAACTAGTATAAATATTTGCTTGTTTATACAAGGAAAATTCAAACTCGACCTAAAATTATATGGGAAATAAAAGAAAAATTTTAAGGGAGCTCTTTAATAACATAATCATATATATATATACACACACACATATAACATGTATATATGTTATATGGGATAGATATAGATTTAACATGTTATATCTATATTTGTATCTATAACTACAGCTGTATGTATCTACATTTCTATATATTTACTCAGTGATATAAATATAGACTGGAATAAATATAAAGACACATATGATTCTTGGATAAAAAAGATTTAGTATCATAAAGACAAATCCTTTCCAAATTCACTTATGAATTCACAACAATATACAGTTTCATTAGTATAATTTAAAATTTTTAAACAAATTCCAAGATTCATTTAAAGGAATATACATTTATATAAGCAGTCAAGACAGAAGCAAGAGTGCACTAACCTAACTTGCTATTAAAATACATTTATAAACTTAGTCACTGAAACTGAGCAGTACTGATTTGGAGTACTGGAATTTAGGTACATGGGATCTCAAAAGCACAGAGCTCAAAAGAGACCCCTGTATGCACGAGAACTTAGGATGTGCTTTAGAAGGCATTACCAAACCACCGGCAAAATTACTTTAGTGTCTTAGTCTTACTAGGTTTGAAAAGCCAGAGAAAAGACTCCAGACCACCATATAAGAGCAAAACAAAAGGACAGGGAGAGAATGTGAAGATACTGAAATATTTTTCATAAAGTTGTATAAAACATCCTTTAAAGAAAATATAAAATTTAGGATATACATCAAAATCAGCAGAGCCAGTAAATAAATAAATAGGCATTGTAAAATAACAAGAGAAAATTTAAATGGATTTCTAAAAAATATTGACACCTATGATTTTTAAAATATGTTTAAGAAATCCCGTATTTCACAGGGCAGCCTTTCACAACACAGATATGTTAGGACATAAAGGTCCTTCTGTTTTTAATTTACTAATGTTTATAGGGTTACAAATGTCTTCTACCCTTGTCTTTTGTCTGATGGTGCAAAAAAATTTCATAAGCATGTATTTCTGAATGCCTGATGGATTGACATATACAATAAGCTGATAGTATTAAAATATGTGACAAGAAATGCATCCAATCTTCTCACTGTATACATAAATTCTAGGTTTCTCCTATTTACCTCAAGCATGTATGGACTGAACTCTTACCTTTTAATATTGCCATGGCATTCACATTGAACATAAGTTGAACTCTCTCATATGGTAGCTGGGTTCAGATTCCCTTGACAATTTCCAGATCTAACCCTCACAGTTCCTCAGTGTGGTTGGCCCAGATATTGACCCTACACAGTTGCCTCCTCCTGGTGACTACCAGCTATGTAACCGTTTGATACAACCTACCTGAATCACCCCACAAACCTCACAGAGGACATGGACAGCCCCACATGCCAGAGTGACCTGCTCGATTGCAGCGGGAGTCAAGAAATGTGCCTGCTGGCACTCACCCCACTGACTAGTGCCCCGTGGAAAACTTATTTGGATAATGTTCTGGGCCCAATAAAGGCTGGAGTCCCACAGACCTCTTTTCTCTCTCCTGCTCCCCACTCATCTTCACCATTTTGTTCAGCCCTATGAGGTGTGCTACTGTATTAGTCCATTTTCACACCACCGGTAAAGAGATGCCCAAGACTTGGTAATTTCCAGAAGAAAGAGGTTTAGTAGATGCACAGTTCCACATGGCTGGGTAGGCCTCACAATCATGGTGCAAGCTGAAAGGCACGTCTCACATGGCAGCAGACAAGACAAGAGAGCTTGTGCAGGAAACCCCCCTTTATAAAACCATCAGATCTTGTGAGACTTATTCACTATCAGAAGAACAGCATGGGAAAGACCTGCCCCCATGATTCAATTACCTCCCACCTGTTCCCTCCCACAACATGTGGGAATTCAAGATGAGATTTGGCTGGGGACACAGCTAAACCCTCTTCTCAGCTACCCTCTTCTCTCTGGATCTGTGAGTAATAAACCTACTTCTGTGATTTCCCATGTTTGGTTCTGTGGCCTCCATGGGTCTGACCTGACCTACACTGGAACCTAACTCTCCTCCTGGCCAGGGTCTCTGAGAGTGGCTCTTGTCAGAAATACACAGGACACAGGTCAGGCAACAGTCACCAGGCATCTCCTAGTCTCAACAGATGTTCTGTGAGAGGGAGGCCTGGTCGTGGGATGCACACCTGGCCACTGCTGGGGTAAGGAAGTGTCCTGTGAAAGGCACATGTTAAGCATCCACAACCCCCTGACCAGAACCCCAGAAAGGCAGGGCTCCAATTGACAGTCACTCTCCGGAGACAAACCTCAAGCCCTAACTGTATGAAAAGAAAACAATGTAAAAAGTTGAATTTATCTTACTATTTCAATGATCCAGTAAAGACATTCTATGCCTGAACACCACACATTTTCTTTGATTGTGGATTTATTTTAGATAGAATTTTAGGTCTGGCTTTCGCTTTAGCCTGGTCCCTACCTCAAGCATAAGGTAAAGATTTTCCATGTGTTCTTTTCTGGTACTACTACCTGCCAGTGTGGGGTCATGTCCTAGTCTATCTTGAGGGTATCCCCCTGTTCATTATTGTCACAGTGAGACTGTTAAGTCTTGATTTCCCTGGACAACTTCGCTGCATGACTTTTAATATGATTTTTTAATATACCCTTTACTGGACAATAAATTATATCATTATCTGAGTAAGAGATATGGTCAGGAAGAGGCATTGCCTCATTCAGCTTTTCTCTTTGGTGAACTCGCATATGTTCTCCTCATCCACCAGTCACCTCTAAACCGTATTGTTCTAAGACAGCAAACAGAACTCGAGTGTGTATCTTTCACCACTGGATTTGTGTTTGCTCCATAAAGCTTCATGCTTGATAGGGTTTCTGTTGGCATTTTGTCTATTTATTTTCCCATAAAATATCACAGACCTTCTTCATATGGAATTACGGGTGATTTCCTTCAGTCTGCATCATATCAAGTTGGGGTTCATGTTGACGAAAAGTAAAACATACGTTGAAAATATCAGTAAGGATGTTTTCCTCTCCTTTTTAGCACCTGTGCTTGTGATACAAGCACATTTTAATACAATTGTGGTCTCATGCTTTGATCATTCCTATGATGAAAATAAAATTTTTAGACAAAATATCTGAGTTTTATGAGGCCTTTAGTATGTGATGTGATAGAATATCAGAAGACCATACTTTTTTCTAGTTTTCCGTGCAATTCTTTCATTGTTTCATCTTTACTCCTACCAGAGTAATTTTGCAAAATAGATATCTTGTCATTCTTCCGGTTGTTATCAGTAAATAAGTGAAATGAAAAGCTAGATTATATAATTTATCTAGAACAAGAAAGTAGAATTAAATCTATATTCATTAATGAGACTAACCAGTCAATTACACAGATGGGCATTTTACATTTTGAAGATCATATGGACCCATTGTCAGAAATATTATTATTTATGTCTATATGGACATCACCTGTGCATATTTACATGGAAATCAATGAGAGCTGATATTTATTTTTATTATATATATTTTTTGAGATAGGGTCTTGCTTTGTTGCCCAGGCTGGAGTGCAGTGGTGCAATCACTGCTCACTGCAGCCTCAACCTCCCAAGCTCAAGCAATCCTTCTACCTTGGCCTCCCAAATAGCTAGGACAACAGGTGCACATCACCATGCCCACTTTTTTTTTTATTATACTTTAAGTTTTAGGATACATGTGCACATTGTGCAGCTTAGTTGCATATGTATACATGTGCCATGCTGGTGCGCTGCACCCAGTAACTCGCTGTCTAGCATTAGGTATATCTCCCAATGCTAACCCTCCACCCTCTCCCCACCCCACAACAGTCCCCAGAGTGTGATATTCCCCTTCCTGTGTCCATGTGATCTCATTGTTCAATTCCCACCTATGAGTGAGAATATGCGGTGTTTGGTTTTTTGTTCTTGTGATAGTTTACTGAGAATGATGATTTCCAATTTCATCCATGTCCCTACAAAGGACATGAACTCATCATTTTTTATGACTGCATAGTATTCCATGGTGTATACGTGCCACATTTTCTTAATCCAGTCTATCATTGTTGGACATTTGGGTTGGTTCCAAGTCTTTGTTATTGTGAATAATGCCACAATAAACATACGTGTGCATGTGTCTTTATAGCAGCATGATTTATAGTCCTTTGGGTATATACACAGTAATGGGATGGCTGGGTCAAATGGTATTTCTAGTTCTAGATCCCTGAGGAATCACCACACTGACTTCCACAATGGTTGAACTAGTTTACAGTCCCACCAACAGTGAGAAAAACAAGCAATGGGGAAAGGATTCCCTATTTAATAAATGGTGCTGGGAAAACTGGCTAGCCATATGTAGAAAGCTTAAACTGGATCCCTTCCTTACACCTTATACAAAAATCAATTCATGATGGATTAAAGACTTAAACATTAGACCTAAAACCATAAAAACCCTAGAAGAAAACCTAGGCATTACCTTTCAGGACATAGGCATGGGCAAGGACTTCATGTCTAAAACACCAAAAGCAATGGCAACAAAAGACAAAATTGACAAATGGGATCCAATTAAACTAAAGAGCTTCTGCACAGCAAAAGAAACTACCATCAGAGTGAACAGGCAACCTACAAAATGGGAGAAAATTTTCGCAACCTACTCATCTGACAAAGGGCTAATATCCAGAATCTACAATGAACACAAACAAATTTACAAGAAAAACAAAAGCAAACCCATCAAAAAGTGGGCGAAGGACATGAACAGACATTTCTCAAAAGAAGACATTTATGCAGCCCAAAAACACATGAAAAAATACTCATCATCACTGGCCATCAGAGAAATGCAAATCAAAACCACAATGAGATACCATCACACACCACTTAGAATGGCAATCATTAAAAAGTCAGGAAACAACAGGTGCTGGAGAGGATATGGAGAAATAGGAACACTTTTTTTTTTTAATTTTGATAGAGACTGTGTCTTGCTATGTTGCCCAGGTTGCTTGTGAACTCCTGGGCTCAAGGAATCCTCGCATTTCAGCCTCTTCAACTGCTGGTATTACAAGCATGAACCACCATATGGGCTGGAAGCTGATTTTTAAAATACTGAGATCATATAGATGACAGCACCTGAAAAATAGACAACACCAAGCTTGATGTTAAAAGGTGTGAGGGTATCAATATTGTTCTGGCTATTGGGGAGAAAACCATTTGTAAAACCAGTAAGTTAAAGCTCTTGCTTTAAACTTTGGCTTTAATTTAACAAATGTTCTATGGAGTGACAGTATGTATGTAACCATGCTATGCCCATTCACAGATGCAGTAGAGGGAAGAATTTCTCAAACACAACTGTTCTAAGACTCAAATTAAACCGTACTGGGTTTGAAAAGAGAAAGTCCAGGAATTACCAAATATTTTAGATATCAGATATGAGAGAATGCCAGGTATGCGATGATAATCAACAATGGTTGTTCACACAATACATCAAATCAGTATTTGAATTAGCTTTTGAATTACAAGGACAAATGGATCAAGTCTAGACTCTTTAGTAGATAAATCTTATTAGGCTGAGATGTGTTTTCCCCTGTTTTTCCACAAGGAGATTACAAATTTGCAAACCTCAGCTGCTCTCATTTTATGCTCTCACCAAGCCAAAAGCTGAAGTTCATCAATCAGTGTGTCTAAGTGTTCACTGGTTATATAATATTTTGTAGTTTCAGCTATCTTTCCAACTTCTTAAATCATCACCTTCATTTGATCTTGTTTTTTCCACTATCACTTCTTTATTGACCATATAAAGAATATAAGTAAGTTCTTATTTTGTTATTGTTCATTTTAGTTTAATTTCATCAAAAGATCACAATCTTTTAATTTCATTTTCATTTCAAAGATTAAATGAAACCCACATAGAAATGAGTGTAAGATTTGCATTTGCATTATTTTGGCATCAATTTGCTATCCTCCCTCATACACATAGAGATCGTTTCCATGTACGTGATTTCAAACATCCAAGTGCAGTATTAAGAGCAGTTGTAAATTATGGTTCTCATTTTCATGATACAATTACAGTATAAACTTCCTCTTGCTGCTGTAACCAATTACCACAAATTTCATATCTTACAATAAAGTGACCGTTAATCCTACAGTTCTGTAGTTCAGAAGCCTTAAATGAAACTCACAGGGCTAATATCAAGTTTTGGGTAGGACTGCAGTCTTTTTGAGGGCTATGTGGCAGAATCTATTACTTGATTTTTTCAGCATCCACAGGCCACCTTTATTCTTTGGAACATGTCCTCATTCTTATATCCTATTTTTTTTTTTTTTTTTTTGTGATGGAGTCTCCTTCTGTCACCCAGGCTGGAGTGCAGTGGCACGATCTCAGCTCACTGCAACCACTGCCTCCCGGGTTCAAGGGATTCTTCTGCCTCAGCTTCCTGAGTAGCTTGGACTACAGACACTTGCCACCACACCCAGTTAATTATTTGTATTTTTAGTAGGGATGGGGTTTCACCATGTTAGCCAGGATGGTCTCAATCTCCTGACCTCGTGATAAACCCACCCTAGCCTCCCAAAGTGCTGGGATTAGGCATGAGCCACCGCGCTGTGTCCTCATTCTTGTATCTTAAAAGTCAGTGATGTTGAGTAATTTCTCATGCCACCACCTCCAAGGTTGCCTTTCTTCTGCCTTCTCCTTTCATTTATAATGAAGTTTGTGATTTCATTGATCCCACCCATTTAAGACAATCTCTCTATCATTTTTTCCGCAACCTTAATTTCGCTTGAAATCTAATTTCACACTACCGTGCAACCTAACATATTTGTATGTTAGACTCTGGGAATTAGGACATGAAAATTTTTGGGAGGCTATTCTTTGACCTACAACAGACATAATCTATTTACCTGCAGATTAAAGCGTTCTTTATTTTTCTGTCCCCCTCTCTTAATTTTTTTAAAATAATATGAATTGCAGTAAAGAGAAAGACAGAAAAGAAAACAAAGAAATAAAAAGAAGGAAGGAAGGAAATAAAGAAAGAAGAAAGAAAAGAAGGAGGAAATGAGGGAAGGAAGGGAGGGAGGGAGGAAGGGAGAAAGGGAGGAAGGGAGAAAACAGAAAGCAAGAACACAAGAAAGAAAGAAGGAAGGAAAGAAAGAAAGAAAGAGAAAGAAAGAGAGAAAGAGAAAAAGAAAGAAAGAAAGGAGGAAGGGTGGAAGGAAAGGAGGAAGAGAGAATGGTAAAAGGGAGGAAGGCAAAGGAACAAAGGTAATAAACAGGCAAAGGTAGGAAAGAAAAAGAGGAAAGGAAGGGAGGGAGGAAGGAAGAAATGGAGGGCTGGAGGAAGGGAGAAAAAAGGAAAGGAAGCCAGAACGTGAGAAAAAAGAAAGAATATGAGAAAAGAAGGAAGAAAAGGGAGGGAGAAAGGAAGGGAGGGCGGAGGGAAGGAAGAATTAGAGGAAAGAAAGAAAGAAGGAAAGAAGGAAAGAAGGAGAAAAAAAGAAAGAAAAGAAAGAAAGGAAAAGAAAAAAGAAAAGAAAAGGAAGATGAAAAGAAGAAAGGAAGGAAGAAGGCAAGGGAAGGGAAGAGAAGAGAAAGGACGATGGAAAGAAGAAAGGAAGAATGCAAATATTAAAAATTCTGGGTTTGTTAGAGAATATGCCATACTGTTTTTTTTTTTCACTTGAAAGGAAAGAGTATCTGCCATTGAAGATTGGATGTCTTGTTGGTGATATTGTTGTTCTTATCTCCCACATGATTACTGAATTTGTGCCTAGTCTTTCCATTACTAAGACAAAAGTGTTGAAGTCTGCAAACATAATTTTGGATTTTTCTAGTTCACCTTTGATTTCTTTCCTGTTTTACCTCATGTATTTGGAGGTTCTGTTGTTAGCTGCATAACCTAATTATTAGGATGTTTACATCTTCTTGAGAATTGATTATTCTATTATCTATTATCTCTCATCTCTGATACTATTTCTTGTTCTGAACTCTGTTGTGGCTAATATCAATGTAGTCCTTCCACAGCCTTATTTTAGTGTTTCCATGATACGGTTTTCTCCATATCTTGATGATAACCTATTTATATCTCTATATATTTGGAGCAAGATATAAAATTTAGACTTGATTTTTTAAAGATTTTTCAAGATGTACTTCTTATTTCTTTTTGTTCTATTTAACATTCTCTGAGTTTCCTATATTTGAAGTTTGATTTTCTGTCACTTCTTTTAGAATATTTTGGCAGTTATTTTGAAAAATATTTCTTTTTCTCCATTATTTTTCCCTCTTTTCTTTTTGGGATTTCAATCATAACTAGAGTAGGTAATTTCATCTCAGTCTTATGCAGGTACTTTTTCTCAGGGTCTCAGGAATGTAGACTTCTCACACTTCTGTTCTTTTCCTGGCTGTGTTGGTGAGCTCAGTGATATTCCTCCTTCACCTTCAAGAGCAGTTTTGTTTTGTTTTTCCTGTTTTCATAATCCCAGCATCAGGAGGATCCTAAGTGTGGCAGTTTTTGTTGCCTTCCCCTACATATTAAGTGGAATATATTGGTCTGTTTGGACTCTTATAACAAAATAACATAAACTGAGTGACTAAAAAGCAACAGATATTTCTTTTTTCACACTTCTTGAGGCTGTGAGATCTCAGGTCAAGATGCTCACAAATTCAGTGTTGATGAGAGCCCATTTCATGGTTCACAGATGCTGCCTTCTTTCTATGTCCTCACATAGTGAAAGGCACACAAGAACTCCAATGAGCTTCTTTTATAAAGGCACTAATCCCATTCATAAGGGCTCGGACCCCAAGACCTGGTCACCTCCCAAGTTTTCTGCTCTCCCTGATCTGTGTCATATACAGACTCTCTTGGATTCCTTACCAATTGCTTGAGAGATCGCAGTGGGATTGTGGGGAAAAAGTTTTCAAGATGATGGATCTTTCCCAACTTCTGCAGCTGTCAGCGGTCTCCCAATCTCACCAGCCCCACTTTGTCTTTAGGAATTTATTGATTATTCCAGCTTTACTTGTCATAGTGGTGTCTATTTGCATCTGTCCTATGTAAGTGCATCTGTCCTTTTTCTCCTTGCAGGTGCAAGTACTCAGGAGTACACTGTTGTTACTAATTACTCAGTATTGGTTTGTACATCGTCAAAGATCAAAGAACATTTTTAAAGATAAAAAAAATTCTTGGAGGTTGTGTAATGAAGGGTTAATTCTGCAGACATGGCTTTCCAAAACCTTGCGCATTCCAAAGGTCTTCAGGACTGGTCCTTGACAAGCTCCTGGGAGATGATAACCTATGAGCCCTTGGTATATGTTGCCTGATGAGAGTCTTTGTATGCGTGACAACGTAGGTCATATCAAATAACTGATGCTAACAACGTGATTTCTTGTGAGTACCTGTTTCTGTATGCCTATGACTTTGTGTAATGCCATATTAATATGACCTCTCTTAGGGCATAGGGAGGTTGGGAACTAAGTTGCTAAGTTCAGTCACAGGACGCTCGATGCATATGTGGTGGAATCCTAATAAAAACCCTGGACTCAAGACTGACGGAGCTTCCCTAGTTGGCAACAAGTTCACACATGTTGTCTCACACCATTGTAAGGAAAATTAGTCAGTGTGAAGTCCCCACTATGAAAGGACACCTGTAAGCTCACATCTGGTTTGTCCTGGACTCTACTTTATGTGCTTTTATGCTTCTGATTATTTTAATCTGGCTTCTTTCACTGTTAGAAACTATAACCACAAAAAAAATCAGCTTTCTTGGGTGATGTGAATCATTAAACCAAAGGGGGACTTGGGGACCCCCAATAAAAAGTATATATATTCTTAAAAAGAAAAAGAAAACTGGCTATAGCAGATATTGCTGATGACTTGTCTTCTATGTCCTGGACTCAATGTGTTCACCTGAAATTCACCTGTTTCCAGCTAACTGAGAGCTCCCCACATCATGCCTGTCTTTCTGATTTTTGGGCCTGCCTGCAAGCTTCTTGAGGCTAACCAGTGCTTCTCAACCACACATAGGAAAAAAGAAGGAGTTAAGGGTGGAGAGTTAATGATTCTAAGGCAATCCTTAAGCAATAAGAGATGGGAATTCCAGCATCCCCATCTCTTTGTAAAGTTATTTTGACACAATCTCCATACCTCCATCATTACTGAGCACATAGCAGTAACTACTCATTCACACTGGCTTCGTGTTCTGTTTCATTTTCTCCACTTCTGTGCTTTCTCACTCAATTTCTGATTAAAGTATCTGACCCCAGATATTTGTTTCATAGTCTATTTTTGAGGGAATCCAGAGCCAAGACAATAACAATGGGAGCTTTGCAATGAGGGAGGGTGAGTATAATCATCAGAAGGTTACATACCTCACTGGGAACATGAAGGCCTGGAGAGCTTGCTGTTTCAGTGAGAGAAACATGTTGAATGTCAGTTGAATACATACATACATATATATATATATATATATATATATATATGTGCAATAAGACGTGCCCTTTACTTATATCAAAGGAAAGTGCTCTTTACCTCTCTTTGTTGTTGTGTTTTTATCACTATTGCCTACACAAGCAGAATATCTTACCCAGGATTTAAAGCCCTCTCTGCAGGATTTTCAAGCTCATGTTTTTATCATAAGTCACTCTGCTTCCATGTGTTTTAAATCTAATCCTCATTCCTCTGCTTTTACACCAGAGAATTCATCACTGACTTATTTTTGACTGACCTCCTTATAGAGCTGTCAAGTACACAATTTCTGCTGTGACCTTGCTCTTAGAGTTCAGTCATATAGCCTCTCACTAGATATCATTTCCTCTTATCTTTCCTAATAATGAATTGTCAGTTAAAACTCAACATTTTTAAGATTGAGCTTACCATCTGCACACACACACACACACACCATTATTGGTGTATTCTCATAGCCTTGAAACACTAATGTCACGTTGATGTCTGCCTTTTCTTTCTCTGCTACCTCATTCCTCATCCTTAGATTATTCTAAAAGATTCAATTAGATCAAGTTGGCTAATTATATTTATAAGATCCTCTCTAACCTTCCCAACATTACATTTAACAAAATTTAAAAATTTCTGGCAGGAGACTGTTGAAATTCCCATGGATGACTATGGTTTTACTATTTTACCTTTCAGTTTTAATAGGTTTTATATTATGTATTTTAAAGTAATGCTATTGTGTGCGTACATATTTCATATTTACATGACTTCTTGGTACATTTTGCCCTTTGTCATTGTGAAATGTTATTCTTCATCCCCAGTGATATTTCCTGTTCTGATGTCTACTTTGCTCATCACAGTTTTCGGGGGTTTTGGTTTGTTTGTTTTTCTATTGTTTGGTTCAAGTAAGTTTCTTATAAATCTGTTCGATTCCATTTGATGATTCCATTTGATTCCATTTGAGGATTCCACTCGATTACATTCAATGATGATTCCATTCGAGTCCATTCAATGATTCCATTCGAGTCCATTCGATGATTCCATTCGATTCCATTCGATGATGATTCCATTAGAGTCCATTCGATGATTCAATTCGATTCCATTTGATTCCATTCGATGATGATTCCATTAGAGTCCATTGGATGATTCCATTCGAGTCCATTTGATGATTCCATCCTATTACATTCAATGATGACACAATTCGAGTCCCTTCGTTGATTCCATTCAATTCCATTCTATGATGACTGCATTCGGTTCCATTCGATGATGATTCCAACGGATTCCATTCGATTTCTCCATTCGATTCCATTCCTTGCTGATTCCATTCAATTCCATTAGATGATGACTCCACTAGATTCCATTCGATGATGATTTCATTAGATTCTATTCGATGATGATCCAATTCGATTCTATTCAATGATGATTCTATTCGATTCCGTTCAATAATTTCATTCGATTGCGTTCGAAGATTCCATTCATTTCCATTTGATGGTGATTCCATTCATGTCCAATCGATTATTGTTTTGATTCCATTCGATGATGATTCCACTTGAGTCCATTCGATTCCATTCGATTCCATGCAATGATGATTCCATTGAGTCCATTCGATGATTCCATTTGATTCCATTAGATGATGACTTCATTCGGTTCCATTCGATGATGATTCTAACGGACTGCATTCGAAGACTCCATTCGATTCCATTTATTGATGATTCCATTCGATTCCATTTGATGATGATTCCTTTCTATTCCCTTTGATGATGATTCCATTCGATTACATTTGATGATGATTCCATTCGATTCCATTGAATGATGATTCCATTGGATTCCATTCGATGATTCCATTTGATTACATTCGATCATGATTCCTTTTGGGTCCCTTCAATGATTCCATTCTATTCCATTAGATGATGATTCCATTCGATTATTCCATTCAACTCCATTTGATGTTTTCTTTCAATTCCACTCAATGTTGTTTCCATTTGAGTCCATTCAATGATTCTATTCGAGTGCATTCCATGATTTTATTTGATTCCATTCGATGATGATTCCATTTGATTCCATTCGATGATTCCATTTGATTTCATTTGATGATAATTACATTAGATTCCATTCGATGACACCATTTGAGTCCATTCAATGATTCCATTTGATTCCATTCGATGATGAATCCATTCGAGTCCATTCAATGATGATTCCATTTGAATACATTCAATGATTCTGTTGGATTCTATTCTTTGTTTTATTTTGACTCGTTTTGATGATGATTCCATTCAGTTTCATTCGATTATCCCATTGTATTCTATTCGATGATGTTTCCATTCGATTCCATTTGAAGAAAATTCCATTCAATTCCATTGATGATGATTCCATTCGATTCTATTTGATGCTGCTTCTATTTGATTCCATTCAATGACGATTCCATTTGATTCCATTTGATGATTAAATTCGATTCCATTCGATGATGATTCCATTCGAGACCATTCCATGATTCCATTCAATTCCATTCAATAATGATTCCATTCGGGTCCATTCGATGATTCCATTCAAGTCCATTCGATGATTCCATTCAATTCTATTTGATGATATTTCCATCTGATTCCATTTGACAATGATTGCCTTTGATTCCATTCTATGATTCCATTCGGTTCCATTCAAAGATGATTGCATTCGATTCCATTTGATGATTCCATTTGATTCCATTGGTTGATTCCATTCGATTATATTTGATGATTATTCCCTTCGAGTGCATTCGATGATTCCATTCGAGTCCATTCAATGATTCCATTCGTGTACATTTGATGATTCCATTCAATTTCATTTGATGATGAATCCATAGAGTCCATTCGATGATTCCATTCGAGTGCATTTGATAATTGCATTTGAGTTCATTTGATGATTTCATTTGATTCCTTTTGATGATTCCATTCGAGTCCGTTTGATCATTCCATTCGAGTCCATTCAATGAATTC